>NT_187557.1:0-75005 GCF_000001405.40 Homo sapiens | reverse complement strand
ACCACTAAACATTTTTTTTTTCCTTTCCAGTTGAGTGAACAGCTATTCTGTGTTGGAAATGAATCACCTGTTCTCAATTCTGGCTGCCCCTGGGTAGTTAACAAACACACCAACCAACAGAAAGCCAACGCCTGGTGAATCAGAGCCTCCAGGGTGGCCTGGGTGCAGGTCAGAAGCTCCCAGGTGATTCCAGGTGTGGCCAGGGTTGGAAGCACGGACCAACACTTTACTTCCTTGCCCCTCCCCGCCCCCGTGGAGCTTCATTACAAGTTACTTTAAAATATCATCCACGCCAACAACCTAAAATCCATGCCCGTTTTGTTTACTTGCTCATCATCGTTTATAGAAGAGAGACCTGGAAAACGTAGGCCCCAGGAAAACTCCACATTCCGGGTTTAACAGGTGAGGACAGAGTTCCCGAGAAGTGTCACTGCCCGGTAGGTGAATGGAGGAGGCTGCTTTCAGGCTTTCAGTGGTGTTGACGCTTGTCTAAGACACTGCTTCATATCGAACAGAATGGAGCCAGGTAGGCCAGGCTGGATGGGACAAGCCCCTTAGAGTGTGTAGCCAGAGGATCCCGAGGTGCTAACTGGAGCTCCCCGCCTCAGGCGGTTAAGATCTTTCTGATGCCATTTAGAAATTAGGCAGTTGAAGTCTAAAGGGAGGCAGGGCATTCCCAACAGAGCCAGACGCATCTGGGAAGAATCCTTCTCCTTCCACTTTTTATCCATGTGACCTTGGAGTTAAGTCACCAGAGTCACCCTTAATGAAATGCCCTGGTAGAAGGGGCCTCCTGCCTTTGGGGGCTCTTATCATCCTTGCCAGAGCCTCTTGTAATGAATGGAGTCCCAGGGTGGCCAGGTGACTTCCTCTAGCTCCCTGACCACAGACCCATCTCTGGGGGCCTTATTCTATGTTCACTGTGGGGACCAAACAAAGCCTCGAGGTGGCCCCTCAAATCCATCTTGATGGCTGGAAAAGCACCCTAGAAACCCAGGTCCTTCTGGCCCTAAAGCTCGTCCTCAAAGCGCTTCCTTCAGGGACAAGACCATCTTCTTTATAAAAGGACAGTGCACTATTATTAAATGTTTTCATGGTGATACAGAAGAGGAGTGAGCAATCAGATACATGTTCAAATTCAGACTTTCTCACCCTCGACCCCTCCTGCTGGGAGGGTCATCCAGAGTGAACTATTTCTTTCTTTCTTTATCTTTTAGAGACAAGGTCTTGTTCGGTTGCCCAGGCTGGAGTGCAGTGGTGTGATCACAGTTACTGCAGCCTCAAACTGGTGGGCTCAAGGGATTCTCCAGGTGCGGGCCACCATGTCTGGCTATTTTGATTTGTTTTATTATTTTACTGTTTTTAGAGATGGAGGTCTTGCTATGTTGCCTAGGCTGGATTGGAAACTTTCATTTACTGAATTGAGGCAGTGTTACTACCAAAAGTGCCTGCAGGACAGTCTCCTAGGTAACGTCAAGCAGAGGAGGCTTGAGGCCCAGGGACGGGGGAGTGACCCTGTGAGGCAGAGTAAAGTAGCATTTATTGTTCCACCAATGGCTGTAAGGCACTCTTGGACTGCACTGGCTATATCTGGCTCCTAAGGGCTGCGTGTCACTTGGTCCCTGCAAGAGGCCACCAGGCTTCCCTAGGCCCAGCCACGTGGCTGCCACTGTGGGCACAAGCATGTTAAGAGCTGGAGATGGTGTGTGGCGTGTAAGGAGGAGGTGTTTCTGGGCCTTGCTCAAAAGGCTGCAATAGTGGCATGCCATTTTCCTGCCCCAGATGCCCCTCCCTGCCTGACTTCCATTCCTTCCCTTCCCTGGCCTCATGCTGCCTCCATGCACCGTCTAGACCTGGTCTCCTTTCATGCCAACAAACACTGCACCCTTTTCTTCTTCCCTGGGTTCGCTCATGTCATTCCCTGCCCGAGTAGCTCTTTCCTTTCTCCTTCCCCAACCCAATTCCTCCAGGGTCCAGTTCAAGCCTCACTCTATCTAGTGAATCTTCACCTTCCTTCATCTGTCTGGCTCTTTGTGAGTGCCTGCTCCAGGGACATTAGGGTAGCAGTACCCACGCTTTTCTTACTTCCTACTCTAGTCCTACCTACCACACAGTTTACACTGAATTTTTAACCACCTTTGCTGATTCATCAACTCTTTTCAGTGATAAGACCCTTGAAGTCAGGATCAATGCCAAGTACTGCTCCGTACTCCTCACTGTGGCATGGACACAGAACAAACATGGATGGAAGCCTCACGTGGACCAGATGCTGAGCCAGAGACTGGGTGATCAAAGGTGAATAGACATGTCTTCGACTTCCTGGAGTTCATACTTGGGTGGAGGAGACAGATGTGTGTTCTTAACATTGGGAGGTCAAGGTCAGGGAGGGCTGGGAGCAACAGAGCTGGTTTGATTCCTGGAGGAGAGACATGTTTTGAGGCTCTTTGCAAGATGAGCCTTGGTGAAATTGTCCTAAGGGCATTCTAAGATGAAGGTCAATGAAGGCAAAGTTTCTGAAGATATAAAAGTAAACTCCTTTTGCCTCACAAACCTGCATCACTTTTATCAATAACGGTCTCACTAGCCTCTGAGTGTCTGAAGTTGGAGCCCCTTACTTGCCTCCGGGTTACAGCGCCTGGCACAGCGCCTGTGGGAACATGGGTCTGGGGGCCTTACCTTCTGCTTCTGGGACTTCACTTGCGGCCTCAGGCTCCCACCCTCACGGGCTTCAGCGCACAATAAGCTTTCATATTCTTTTCTTCCCTTCATCACAGTATCAGCGAAGCCCTATCACAGCATTTGCCTTCTCATATGCTACCCTGGTTTTTAAGGAAGCTCAGTGTAAATACATGATGCAAACAACAACAACAGGAACTAGACCTCCATTCCCGTGAGTTAGTGTGTCAGCTTCGTCTAGCTGTGCTGGAGCGGTCCCCAAACCTCATCAGCTCACAAACGCATCAGCAGTAGCCCGGGCGTGCCCCTTCTCCACGGCCATGTCACATGGGGATTCAGGCTAAAGGAGCGGCCTCATCCCCGACACATTCTTAGGGCAGAGGGGAAAAGAGCTGTGGTGAAACTGTGTCCACTCATGCAGTCCTGCTGGGAGCATGCTGACCCCCGTCACCCAGTCCACACCAGTCCATGGGAAGTGAAATTCTCCCGTTGGATGAGCTTGGTAGTGGTGGACAGAGAATGTTTTGAATGAACAAAGCTATCTGCTATAGTTTCCTCTCCCTATCACAAATATTTGCTCCATTTATTTCCACAGGCAAAATGCACTCCTTCTTTCCCGGGGGAAACACCCTAGAAGCCCTATCAGACTTGAAGTCTCAGATCTTGTGATGATCTTTACACCAGGTCTAGGTGTGACACCTTTCGATCCAGAGACCTACAAATTAAACCAACCATTAGGTAATGAATTAGAGATGATCACGTTCCAGCCACACTCTCAATACACAACAGCTGAGCAACAACCCAACATGGGCAGTGCACATTCCCTGGGAATAGATTCACGGCAGTCACCAGGACGTAGCACTTCCAAAACCTAAGCAGGCAGGCGCTGCCAGGGCCTCTTCGGAATGAGAACATTCCCTGAGCAGCTCCTGATGGTTCTCCTCCTTGGAATTAGGTCCCTAGGCTGTTGTTCTCGTGGCTTTTGGCTCAACTTTCTGAGAGGTTCTTAATTTCCCTAGTAGGGATGGACCCAGTGGAGAGAAGCAGCAGAATACTGTAAACCAACAGTCCACTCTGGCACATTGAGCTTGGCCCCAGTTGCAATACCTTCATTCGATATTTCTCCCCCTGAAGATTGTTATGCTAGAAGTAAAATACCAAGCAAATCAGTTTTCCACAAACTGTTACTTCCATAGATCAACCTATTATTTGTTTCCCAAATTATCTGCTGTAAAGTATTAAATTTTTTTTAAATTTTCAATCTCAAGGAAGTTTACAAAGACCTACAAAATACAAGCCAATGTTTTCTATATTAGGTATGACAAGACAAAAAATTTTTCTATTCAATTTGCCATGTCTAAGCCCTTACTGTCAATTTCTGTCCTTCCTTTGAGTAGCAGTATTATTCTAAAGGAAGATCAGTTTACCTTTTAAAGGATCTCTGTGTGCATTTGTGCCTGTATGAAATGTTTAGAATCTTCTAAGTATGCTTTCTTATGATTAAAAGACTCAACTTGGCTTTTGAGAAATTGAAGGAAAGAATGTGTTCAAATTAGTTGGTGCTATGGTTTCAATGGGTCCCCTTCAAAATTCAGGTGTTGCCAATATGATACTATTAGGAAGTAGAGCCTTTAGGAGGTGATTAGGTCATGAGGGTTCCTCCCTCACGAGTGAGATCAAGGCCTTTAGAAAAGAGGTTTGATACAGCAGGTAGCTAGTTTGCTCTCGCACCCTTCCACCTTCTGCCATGTGAGGACACAGCAAGAAGGTCCTCACCAGACACCAAATGTGGGCACCTTGGTCTTGGACTTCCCAGCCTCCAGAACTATGAAAAAATAAATTTCACTTCTTTATAAATTACTGTGTCTGTGGTATTCTGTTAAAGCAACACAAACAGACTAAGACATTTGGCATGCCCAATACACATTTATATTGTGTCTTTTCTTCAGGGTTCATTTTATTTCCATCATTAAACCTCTGCCCTACTAATTTTTCTCCTTTGTTATTTTCAATTAAAATGATTAGTTTTAAACAGTGCTCATTTATCT
Organism: Homo sapiens; assembly: GCF_000001405.40. NCBI lineage: Eukaryota > Metazoa > Chordata > Mammalia > Primates > Hominidae > Homo > Homo sapiens. The sequence continues at coordinate 70,281 of NT_187557.1, read as the reverse complement.
GCTGCAGGTTATTAACAATGATTTTAACACACTCTACAAGCATAGGCTGGCTCCTTTCAACCCCAGGGCTGTGTAAGGTGTACCACATCATTCATTCACAGTTGAAGTTCCCAACTTCAACTTCTTTTCTGACTTTACTTTGGAAAATATTCTTTAGCTTAGGTGAGGCCATCATCTAATTCATCTCCACTTCGCTCACAAAGCCAGTGTGTCAGCACAGAGGCAGACAGTGTATTTTCTGCCAGTGGGCTTGTGATCCCACACCTGGTGCTGTGACGCCCTCTGAGAAGGTGAATGCCATCTTGCCCTTCTATGGGACATTTCAGGTTTGCCTGGTTTTTGGTTCTAATGTATTCTCTCTATTTTCCTTCTTAACAGTAACGGTTACACAATAAATATTTATTGAGTTCTTTCTAGTGCCAAGCACGCTAAGTAATAGAGGCTGTGCCAAATTTGACTCTTGGCTACAAAAAGCAGTAAGTAATTTCTAAATAACTTAAGTAAAAAAAGAGAATAACAATTAATTGGAAAACCATTAACTTGCTCACAAAGTCAACAGGGAGCCTAGGGAGGCTGCTTGGAGAAGTGAGTTGGAGCTAGGGGAGATGAGCTGTGGACTGAGTCACACACAGGAACAGCCACTTAAAATGCCACCCCCGTTTCTGTGCCACAGGACCTGCTGCCCAGGTCTGCACCAGCGCTGTGGTATTCCTGACTGGTCACGGCCACCACAGTTTTGTGTCACTCCCTCAGGTATCACATTCCAAGCAACAATTTCTGATGAGCAGGTGTGGGTCCCCTGCCCAGTAGGAAGCTGCAAAAGACTCGGCCAGCTCTGGTCCACCCTGGGAGTGTGGTTCCTGCCTCACTCTGTGTATGGGAGGCAGGGGAGAGGTATCAGTTGACACCTGAAGGAGACAGGGAAGAGCCCGAACAGGCAAAGGTCTACCAGGTAGCCAAAGGGAGGTCGATGTTTCCTAGTAACAAAGGTGGGTGGGGAGGCGCGGCATGCAGAGTGCAGAGCTGCACCCTGCTGGGCCTTGTGGAGTGTCTTTTCTTTGGGGAAATCAACCTGGGAGGTCAGGCAGGGCTTTGCATTTGCACTGAGGAGATGGAGCCTCATCCTCCTGGCCAGGGCATCTCAGTCCCCACACCACTGACATTTAGGCAGGTCTTCCTTGGTGAGTGGGGTGTTCTGTTCTGTGCACTGCGGGATGTTGGCCAGCATCCCTGGCCTCTACCCACTGGCTTCTAGTAGCAAGCCCTCCCACCCCCACTCCTAAGGACCAAAAATAAAGAATATCTCCAGAGTTTCTCGAAGCCTCTCCTCCTAACTTCCCTTCCCCACCCGGCATCACAGTCACCTGGGGTTTTATTTGAGTGGATTCTCGAGCCTGCTTTGAATGACTGAAGCGGGAACTCTGGGATATGAGATTGTCTTTTCCTTCTGGATGGTTCTTACACCCTGGGGTTTGACTGCCATGGGAGTGGGGCACATTAGAAGATGGGCAGGTGGGGTGGCGATGGCCCATCAGATTTGTAGAAAGATCCTGCAGGCAAGGGGAGGTGTAGAGGGAACAGGAGGAATTTAGGTAAGGCTGGGCTAGAGATGATGCAGGCTGAAGTGAAGGGTGGTGGTGGAGAGGAAGGGGAGGGGTGGACTCTGGTGGGATTTGTAGGGTGAGTTTCTTAGGACTTAGTGATGGATGGAGGCAGAGCTGGAGGGAGAAGGGTCAGTGGCTCCAAGGCTTCTGATCTGGGTGGACAAGGAATATAGCAGGGAGATGAGGATTAGGGGAAGGCAATGAGCTCAGATTTGGAAATATTGGGTTTCATGTGCTGATGGAACCTCCAGGTGGGTGAGAGTTTAGAGTAGGGAGGAGAGGTCAGAGTTGGAGGTACGGATGTGGGAGTCATCAGCATCCTGGGGGCAACGAAAGCAGAAGGAGGAGTTGAGAGCCCCAAGGAAGAGTGTAGAATAAGAACCACAGAGGGCGAAAGGTAGCCCTGAAAAGTCAACTTTTAAGAAGGAGGCAGCCGGGAGCAGTGGCTCACGCCTGTAATCCCAGCACTTTGGGAGGCCAAGGAGGGTGGATCACCTGAGGTCAGGAGTTCGAGACCAGCCTGGCCAACATGGTGAAACCCCGTCTCTACTAGAAATATAAAAATTAGCCGGGCGTGGTGGCGCTTGCCTGTAATCCCAGCTACTTCAGAAGCTAAGGCAGGAGAATCACTTGAACCCAGGAGGCGGAGGTTGCAGTGAGCCGAGATTGACCCACTGCACTCCAACCTGGACGACAGAACAAGACTCTGTCTCAAGAAAGAGGGAGACCCCATGGTGAGCAGCGGCCTGGCCACCCTTGGCAGGGCCCATTTGGGTCTGAGCTGTTTCCGCGGGGCTGCGGTCGCATCTTGCTGTGCTTTTGATTTTCACTTTCCTGATGACTGACACTGCTGAGTGCCGTCTTTACTTGCTCTCCTCAGATCTTTGGTAAAGTGCCTCTTCTTATCTTTTGCCCATTTTATAACATTGGTTGTTTTCTGATTATTATCTGCATTCTAGATTTCAAGGGTACCATGAACTCACTGAAAATGGATTCGATTTTTGATAAAAAGAAAATATGGTGGATTTGGAAAACACAGGACTCTCCAGACATGGCCTCAGGATGTGGTTTTCTTAAACAATTTCCTTTCCCGTTGGTATTTTAAGAATCTCAGTTTCTTTTCTTCGATGACTGAAAGATCAAAACGCAAATCCTTGCTGAAAAGATAAAGCAGGCGGCCGGGTGCGGTGGCTCACGCCTGTAATCCCAGCACTCTGGGAGGCCGAGGTGGGTGGATCACGAGGTCAGGAGTTTGAGACCAGCCTGACCAACATGGAGAAACCCTATCTCTACTAAAAATACAAAAAATAAAAATTAAAAAAAATTAGCCCAGCGTGGTGGCACGCACCTGTAATCCCAGCTACTCAGGAGGCTGAGGCAGGAGAATTGCTTGAATCCAGGAGGCGGAGGTTGCAGTGAGCCAAGATTGCACCACAGCACTCCAGCATGAACGACAGAGCAAGACTCTGTCTCAAAAAAAAAAAGAAGATGAAGCAGGCTCTGAATGGAGAGACGGAGTCTTCATCAGGAGCTGGACCTCGCAATGCCCGTGTCTCCTGGGCTGCTGGCGGGCTTGCTGTTGTGGCTTTTTTGTCCTCCTGCAGTAGGAGGAACCGCAGAGGCACCCTTGGGGTGAGCAGTGTGCTTATTTTATTTTATTTTATCTCCTTCCATCATCATTGAGGTGTGGGAGACCTGGTCCTGAATCTGCGGTCCATTCTGGAAGGTCCAGGCTGTCTCAGAGGGAACATGACTGTCTTTCCCCTCCTAGTCCTCAAAACAAAACCCTCATGTCACAGGAAAAGAGGCAGTGCTGAGCTTTGCCTGCTGATGAGCACAGGTCGGTACGCCAGGTGGGTCCGCCAGTGTCTGCCCTGGGCTGGGGGCTTCCATTCTGCTCCCACCCTCCCCGTGGGGTGGGATTCAGGGCTTGCAGCATTGCCCAGGCCCCTGCAGAGCAGGTAGTTTCCATCGCGGAGGGAGGAAGAATAGGATCTTGTCGCATGCAGATGGCCAAGCATCTCAGGCTGCCATGGCAACACAGTGGGCAGGCCCTGCTCCTGGGGCTCCGGTCTCAGGGCAGGCAGCCCCAACCCACATTCTGCACTGACCTCTCCTGTGTGGGCGCCACACCTGCTCTTCTGAGTAGTGATGATCAGGACCACCTCATCCCACTCCAGGAGAAGGCATGGCCTGTGACCTCTGCCCCTCGGCTTAAGGTGGCATGGTCTCCAAGCCTCCACCTGGCACGTACAGATCGAAATCTCCTTCCTAGTCTCCTCCCTGACTCCTCACTGTATTTCCAAAGGTGGGTGCTCAGACGACACAAACTGTGGAGGGAACCCCAGCATTTCCTGAGCCCCCCAGAGCCTGACTGCCGCTTCCTCTATCCTCATCTGCTTCCCTGGGAGGAAGGTTTGCTTTTCCTTTTCCTTCCTAAAATACAGTGGCTTCCAGACCTTGACTGTCTGACCTCCAGTAAGAAATACACATAATTGTGATCAAGTGTGTATGTATGTGAGTGCATCTGAAGCAAATAATTTAAGGAAACTATACTCACTCTATGTGAAATGCAATTTCTTCTATTCTAGTCCATATTGTATAGAATCTATTACATTATTATCTCTTCCATTCCATTAAAAAAATTGCCAGCCGTACTCACTAAATTGATGACATGAACCACTAATGGTTTCAGACTTGAGCTTTGGAAAACACTGCTCTGATGAATGTGCCTGGACTGGTGCGGGGAGTTCAGATTCCCACCATGTTCACCTTTATCCCTCCCCAGGTTCAGGGCTAAGGAGGAAGGACAGTTGGTTTTACTGAAGAAGGGACACAGCCTCATCACTTCCTAAACACGTAAGTTCCAAATCCGTGCCTCTCCGGTTACATATACTCTCAGAGGATAAGCCCAGATATGATGAGAAGCACGATTTCTCTTTCCTATTTAGAATATGCAGAAGGTATTTCAATGGTAATATTGCTTCCTTTTGTAATCTACTGATATTTTGGATTTTTTCATCAAGGAGCAAAAGGTGAACATTTTGCAAAGGCTACCCATATCTAGAAATAAAATAACCCTGGGGAGGTGAGGTCTGAGCTGGCATGGCCTCCCCTGGCCCTGGGAGCACGGACTGAGCCGGCGGAGGTAGGAGTTATGATGCAAGAGTGAGCCTGCTAGCCAGGGAGAGGTGCCTTGGTGGCTCAAGGATTGGACTGCGAATACAGAGAAATAGCACTATTTACAAAGATTACCTCTAAAACAAAACATAAAAGGCTTGAAAGACTAGCAAGAAAAAGTTGAATTTGGAAGTGACAAACAAAATTGATAATAACACCATCTTCCTTTGCGAACAGAGGGCTTTCCTTCGCGTGTGAGGGGGTGGCTGCGGTTGTCCTTACATACGTTGCAGAGCTGGAGGAGAGGCAGGTGACTGCTAAGTCCATCCAGCAGTGCCGCATTCCTTGCTGTCCACCCCACCACCAGGAAATTAAAACAGCACCTGCCTATGGAGCTAGGAAGAAATTCCAATAACAAGTCATCAGCTTTTATTTTAGAACATAAAGAGCTGCAGTGAAAGCCAGCTTATGCTAATCCTCTAGAAGAGATTAGGGCCCCGGGAGAGCGAATTGCTTAGGAACGAATGACGCAGCCCACACTTATCCCTCATTTTCCTCTGGTCTTCGTTCTTTCCTCCCCTCCCATCCCGATTTCTCCTTGCTGCAGACAGCTGCCAGTTTCCTCCCTAAATTTCTAGCGTAGCTCGTACCGAGCCCAAGCCAGGAGGGTCTGCAGGTTGTCCTGCAGTCCTGGGTAGGACGAAGGGCCCTAAGCTGCACAGTTCCTCCTGGTGAGAGCATGTGTTCCGCGTGCCGTGGGCGGAGCAAGAAATTCGTTCTGCAAATGTTTTCAAAAGTGGAAGACTGACTTTCATCGTTTCAGAGAAATCTCTTTCAAAGCTGTAGTTGTTTCTCAGTCACACTCTCACCAGGCATAGAACTGGGTCTTGGAGCTCTGGCCTTGCGCTGCCGTGGAAACCTCCAGGGAATTTACAAGACGGTGGCATTCCATTAACTCAGAACCCGCAGCCAATGCTAAAAAGGAGAAAAAGTCATGATGTGCGTGAAGGCTGAAGTCCTCTCAAGGTGCAGCTTTTAAGAGTCTCCAGCAATTAAAAAGATAACCACACGATTTCAGAAACTTAGATCTTAAGCCTAAAATGTACAAATACACATTCACATGGATAAATGTGTTTCCTTCGGAAAAGTTAGCTACAGAAACCAGAGAATATGTAGTATTCAATCACAGGAAAACAGCATAATACCCATAATGTTCCTAATAGCTGTCTCTTTACTATTATTATTTTCTTCCAACAAATACAACTGGCATTAAAAATTGAATATTAGTTAATAGGGCACAAAATAGAAGTACTGAAAAGTTGAAAAGTCATTGTCTCAGCTTGCTCAGCAGTTATATAAAATTGCTATAATCCAAGTAGCCTTGTCTCTGAGGGGTTTGCTGAGGCCGGGGGCAGCACCCCTCCTACCCAGCTGCGTGTAGTTCCTGGTACCTGGATGCCTCCCGTGCCACGGTCACCTACTGCTGCACTGAGAGCCAAGGGGTAGACACAGTTCAGGGGGGCAGACACAGTCCCAGGGGGCAGACAGTTCTGGGGGCACAGAGTGAGAGCCTCATCCAGAGAGAAGGGACTATGGACTCCTGGGAAGAAAACCAAGACCACAAAGAGGAGGGACCATGAGCTCTCGCTGGGTCTGAACTTGGCAGGGCAGAGATGGGCTGGAGATGGGTGGTGGTGGGGTCAGGGCGTGGATTGAAGATGGGGGAATGGGGCTGCAAGCCAGGAAGTGAGAGGGAATGGTTTTTTCTCTGGGGTTCTGCAAGGAGCAGAGCCTGCCCTCACGGGATGTGAGACAGCAATGGCCAGGCCCCCCGCCCTGTGGACCAGGCTGCTGAATGTGCTCCTGCCTCCCTTTGTATCAGCAAGTGCCCTGCCAGAAATCCCGCCAATGCCCACGGTGCTCTTAGTCGCCATTTAGGGAATGGCCAGGGCACAGGCCCGCCTCATACATCCTCAGGGAGGTGAGGCTCAAGGAGTTTACATGAAGCTGTGGGGTGCAGACTCACCTCTCCAGAGGGGTCTCCCCCAGCACAAAGCTGTAGCATGTCCAGGTTCACAGAGACGCTGGGCCGGGTGAGGAGCACACCTTCTGCCCTGGTGGTGCCGCATGTGTGGGAGCTGCTCGTCCTACTGGGGCAGAACTCTGTGTGAGCTTTTCAGTGGGAGCTGCTCATCCTACTGGGGCAGAGCTCTGTGTGAGCTTTTCGGTGGGAGCTGGTTATCCTACTGGGGCAGAACTCTGTGTGAGCTTTTCAGAAACTTCCTGAGCCAGTTGATTTCACATGGAAGCTTCAAATCCCCACAGAAATTGACAAACACTGTAAGTGAGCTCCCACCCTCCCACAGGACAGTGCTGGCAACTGCCGTGGGCAGCCTCATGTGAACAAGCCTGTAAAAGGGGCTCTGTCATCCCCTGGGGCAGGTCCTACAGCAGCAGAAGCGTGAAGCAGTGGGAAAATCAGCGTCTTCATGAGATCCCGCTAATGCCATAAAAGCACCCCTCAAGGTGTTGACCACCAGCCTCACTCAGCCCGGAGACCACAGCCAAGATGCAGCACACGTTTAGATTACAGCCTCTGCAGTTATCTCACGCTGGACTGCCCATAAAATACCTTCAGGTGTTGTTTGTCCAAGATGTGATTTTTCTCCTGACAGGTGCTTTAGGAGCTTATTACCGGAATGCACCACCGCTGAACGCATTATTTCTTCCTGAGCAATCTTGTTCCTAAAAACTTAGGCATTAAGTAAAATACAGCTAACTCCTCTTGGGTGGTGTCTTCGACTGTTTGTGCTGCTATTATAGAATAAATACCACAGGCTGGGTGATTTATAAATAAAATAAATTTATTTCTCACAGCTCTGAGACTGGGAGGTCCAATACTCAGGTGCCAGCATCTGGCAAGGACCTTTGTGCTGCATCATCCCATGGTGGAAAGCGGAAGGGCAAGACGGCATGGAAGAGAGAGAAAGAGGGAAAGGGGGCAGAGCCCAGCCCAATCCCGAGAGAACCCCTCCTGTGATAACAGCCTTCATCCATTCACTAAGCAGAAGACAGCACGGAAGAGAGAGAAAGAGGGAAAGGGGGCAGAGCCCAGCCCAATCCCGACAGAACCCCTCCTGTGATAACAGCCTTCATCCATTCACTAAGCAGAGCCCTCATGACCCAGTCACCTCTTAAAGGCCACAGTCCCCACACTGTTGCACTGGGGATGAAGCTTCCAGCATGTGAACTTTGGGGCACACATTCAAATTATAGCAGATGGAATGACCAGTATGAGTACGAGCCAGAGAGGAATGCTCTCTGGGAATTTTACATTCCACGGGGGAAATAAACATTTTGTTTGACACAAGACAATAATCAAGATACCAATGACTCGCTCTGATTTAGGATCCGGTCCAGAGAAAAGGAGAAACATACTTTTTAAACAAGGTGATAAGATGCCTGTGTGCACAGTTTTCCTGTAACACATCTTGGCAATCAGGAACCTGTGAGTCAGACGCAGGTGCAGTGCACAGGCTGGAGCGAGGCCTGTGAAGATAGAGCTCAGGAGGGCAGCTGCTTAGGGCTCCGCTCATTCTCTGGGCACCAGGGTCTCTACGCAGTTGTCTGTTATGGTCTCATAGCCTCAAAGGATTCAGTTTTGCCTCAAGTCAGAACACTAACGTGACAATACAAAGCCTGGAAGTGATTAAGCCACACTGTGGACTGCGACCTGTGAGTAGTTTTACTTTTCAGTTAATGCGAATCTAAATATTCAAAGATAGAACAATATACTAACGTATTGGTGTGCACTGGGGGAGCTTCTCTTTAAGCTTGTTTCATGAAGAAATACAGAGGCTCTCAGGAAATCATTTTGAAAGAATGAACTTAACGTAAGTGCCCTTCTTTCTAAGAAATTGGTGAACTCCCTTTGAGGGTTGATTGAGCGCAGGTCTCTTTATTTCCGGCCCCCCTTGGACCCTCCTCTTTCTTCAGCTCCATGGATCCTTGGGTTTTCAGCAGACATGATTCTTCAAGCATCTCTTCCTTGCCTTAGCTGCTGAAGGCTGCGTGCAGACAGTGCTGTCTTTTCGTCTGCAGTGGGTTGAGAGCTCATGGTTCTGGTGTACTCCTCAGCTCCCTCTTTGTCAGCCCCATTCTAGGGTGTAGCTTCCTCCAGGGTGCCGTGGCGTTTCCATGGTCTGCGTTGCCCCATTGGCCTCCCAGTAGGGCTCCCAGGCTCAATGCCACTTCTCTCTGATCCCCCAGGTGCAGAGGCAGGAGGGACCTCGCACAACCCAGCTGAGAGGATAAAGACTGAGAACAGGTGTCCCAGTGTGCAGAGGCCCTTCAGCTCCATGTTCCTTGGTGGGTTGTTGGCTCCATCCTCACCCTTCACCATCCGCTCCAGCCCCACCCTCGGGCTGCCACTGCCTCCGGTCTTCACACTTGCTCTCCCGTAGACCCCGCAACGCCATTCAGCACAGCTGGGCGAATGCACCCAAGGAGATGGTCCAAACAAAATAATTCAGGAGCTAGGAATTCTGGATTTGAACAGAAAATAGCAGACCTCTCCAGAAAGGCTGGGGCTGAGGGGCTGCAACTGGGGCCTCAGGGGGTTGGTGGGACTTTGAGCTCTTGGGTCCCATGGACATCGCCTTTCCGGACAGCTCAGGAAGACGGCGCTGTTATCCCGCAAAGACCTGCAGTCTCAGAGGACACCATCTGTGGAAATGACTTCTCTGCTGGCTAAGTGCTCGGTCCTTACACAAAATCCCTTCTCACCCCAGTAGTGTGGAGATGAGCCTGGAAGTAGTCATAGTGAGAATAACAAGGTTTGCTTAGCATTGTATGCTTCACAGCTCCTTTTTACATGATTACATCTGATCCCCAGCACAGTCTTGTGAGACATTGTTATTCCCACGTTCCCACAAAGACACGGGAGCTCAGACAGGTAGTGCTCCCCTGCCCCCCGCCCTGGTGCTCTGAAGCTCTTCCATTTTTGTTACTACGGAAAAGTCCAAGACTTGTTAGAAAGATGTTCATTGAGAACTCAGATACTCTGAATAATTGCTTCAAGAGCATAGAGTCAAGTTGACATAAAAATATTTGAACTATATATTTTTTATCCGTTTAATACAATTTTATTTAAGATGTTCAAAGTGCATTTCTAGATGCCTTGAACTTGAAGCTATTGCCTCTCATTTTCACCCTTGTTGGGGTTAAAATGATCACTAGAGTGACCATGGTTTTTATCAGCTTATCTGTTACTCCTTCCTCCTCTGACCAGTGTCACACACATTCAATTCAACAAACACCGATTGAGTGCCTCCTGTGTGCCAGGCAGTGTTCTGGGCAGCAGGGATGCAGGCAGAGAACATGACAGTGAAGCAGCCCCGGCAGCGGAGCTTGGGTCTGGTGGAGGGAGACAGCCAGGAAGCCAGCTGGATAAGTTAATTATTTCTAAAGCTATATTTGGAATTGTACAGAAGTAAATCAGGTATATAAACAGTTTGTTAGAATGTAATCAGCAGTATGGAGAAGAATAAAGTAGTGCAGGGAGAGGAGGATGAGGGTGGGGTGAAGTCTGCAATTTTAATAAGGTGCTCAGCAAAGCTCTCACCGAGAGGGGCTGTCCGAGCACAGCTAGAAGGTATGAAGGGGCTGACGGTGAAGGGAGCTATGAAAGAACTTTACGGACGATGAGTCGGGCCTTCTGGGCATGAAACTGAGCTTCAGGGAATGGGAGACAAGGTTAGAGAGAGTGAGGTTCAGTGGCAGCAGATCATAGAGGGCTGGTGGCCTTGGGAAGATGTGAGGGAATTTCTAACAGAACTACGTCTCAGGAGGCTGAATAGGAAGTACAAGAGCTGGCCGGGTGCGGTGGCCCACGCCTGTAATCCCAGTACTTTGGGAGGCCCAGGTGGGCAGATGGGTGAACCCTCATCTCTACTAAAAATACAAAAAAAAAAAAATTTTCTGAGCATGATGGCACGCACCTGTAATCCCAGCTACTCTGGAGGCTGAGGCAGGGGAATTGCTTGAACCCAGGAGGTGGAGGTTGCTGTGAGCTGAGATTGCGCCACTGCACTCCAGCCTGGGTGACAGGGCGAGATTCCGTCTCAAAAAAAAAAAAAAAAAAAGGAGCCACTGCACTCCAGGGTGACGACGAGATTCCGTCTCAAAAAGAAAGGGAGTCTGAGAGCTATGTTGAGGACTGGGGGTTCAGACAGAATATGAATTCATTTTATCTTTACCCCAGAGTGTTCTGGAAGTTGTTAAGGGGAGCAGCTTGGGGGCCGTGGTCAGAGTGAGCTCTCTAGGCTCTTCTGGAAGAGCACTGTCCCAGAAGCACCTGGTGCCAGTTAGGCACCCGTGATTTGGCAGCTTAGTAATGGAAAAGGATGGTCAAAGGAACAATTACTCGTGACCAGGAGATCTAGTTGTGTGGGAGGAGAGCACACATGCACATGCACAAACACATGTCTACACAAACACACATAAGCTTGTGCACACATGCATGTACATACAAACATATACAAACATGCACACACAAATCCACACACACATGCACAAATGTGCACACACAAAAATGTGCACACACCTGTACACACAAAATGCACAAACTCACACATGCACAAATGTGAACACACAAAAAATGTACAAGCACACATGCACATACAAAAAGCACACACGCTCACACATGCACAAATATGCAAACACAAAAATTGTACAAATACAAATGTACACACAAAATGCACACACACGCACACATGCACAAATGTGAACACACAAAAAAATGTACAAACACACATACACACACAAAATGCACACAAACACACATGCACAAATGTGCACACACAAAAAAGTACAAACACACATGTACACACAAAATGCACACACTCACACATGCACAAATGTGCACACACAAAAGTACAAACACACATGTACACACAAAATGCACACACTCACACATGCACAAATGTGCACACACAAAAGTACAAACACACATGTACACAAAATGCACACACACTCACGCATGCACAAATGTGCACACACAAAAAAGTACAAACACACCTGCACACACAAAATGTACATACACTCATATGCACAAATGTGTACACACAAAAACATGTAGAAACACACATGCACACATAAAATGCACACACATGCACACATGCACAAATATGCACCTGCACAAATGCACACAAGCACACATACACACAGGCATGCTCACATACACGAGTGCATGCATGTACAGACATGCATAAACATACATGTGAATGCCTGACCATGCCCATGTGCATGTACACCAAACATACACACAAAAACGCACATGCACAGTTAGACAAGTTCAATGACGCAAATATGGCTGAAGTATAAAATCATTACGTCATATTCAGTAATGGGCCACATGACTAGTGATTATGTTTCTGATGTTTGTGAAAAGTACAAGTATTGGAAGATGAGGCTCAGAAAAAGAAACTGTTGTGTTAACCATTGTTGATATCAAAGAATACCTTGACCACAACACGATATCACTTCACACTCATTAGAATGCCTCTAATAAAAAAGATTTCAATTACAAGTGTTGGCTACGATGTGGAGAAATTGGAGCCCTTATATGTTGCTGGTGGGAACGTGAAGTAGTGCAGATGCTTTGGGAAACAATTTGGTGGTTTCCTAAGAAGTTAAACATAGAGTTATCACATGACCCAGAAATTCCCCTTCTAGGTGGAATCAGTTACGCAAGATAACCGAAAATATATGTTCACAAAAAACCTTATATATGATTTTCATAGCAGCATTATTCATAATAGTCAAACAGTGAAAACAGTCCAAATGTCTGCCAATTGATGAGTGGATAATCAAAATGTGGTCTGTCCACACAATGGAACATTATTCAGCCATAAAAAGGAATGAAATACTTATATATATGCACGACATGATGAAACTTGAAAATGTTATTCTAAGTGAAAGACACCGGATGCAGAAGACCACATATTGTATGACTATTTATGTGAAGCATCTGGAAGAGGAAAATCTATCGCGTTCATCTGCCAGAGCTGCCATAACCAAGTGCCACAGACAGAGTGGGTTAAGTAAGAAACTTATCATCTCACAGTTCTGAAGGCTGGAAGTCTGAGATCAAGGTGTCAGCAGAGCTGACACCTGGTGAGGCCTCCCTCTTTGGCTTGCAGATGGCCGCCTTCTCACTGTGTCCTCACATGGTCGCCCCTCTGTGCCCGCACAGCCAGAGTCCTAGTGCCCTCTTCTTACAAAGACACCAGTTAGTTTGGATCAGGGCCCACCCATCCAACCTTATTTTAACTTAGTCACTTCTTTAAAGGCCCCATCTCCAACTACAGTCGCACTCTGAGGTATGGGGAGCTGGGGCTTCAACATGTGAATTTTGGGGGACACACTTTCAGCCCATAACATCTATGGAGCCAGAAAGGAGATTAGTGGTTGCCAGGAGCTAACAACAGGGAAATGGGGAGTGACTGCTAATGGGTACTGGGTGGCTTATGGGGCAGTGAAAATGTTCTAAAATTGATTGTGAAGACAGTTGCATAACCTTGGAAAAATACTAAAAACCACTGAATTGTATCAAGGGTGATTTTTATGGTATGTGAATTATGTATCTTAATTTAAAAATAAGAGTATTTGCTAACCTCAAGGAGAGATTAATATAGGTGCCAGTGGAAGAAAGACAAGGCAAAATAAAGACAAAGGCATGTAGAAAATGGTTTTTCTGTGATGTCTCTCTCTCCTTTCCGTAACTCCCAGCCAGGACTCCTTTGGCTGGGTTTCCAAGTGCCTTTGACAAACCACCAGCTCAGGGCTTCTTTCCCTCAACCACCACCCCCTAACCTCGTTGCCAGGCTACGGAAATCCAGAGCACTGCTTGAGAAAGGAAAGCCAAGGACAGAACAGAGCCCTGGGGAGGAGCTCGTGGTGGCCAAGCCGAAGGAGGCAGGGAATTCCGGTGGCCCAGAGCCCTGGCAGAGGCTGCCACTGCGTTGAGCCCGTCACTTTGTTGAGTTTCGCGGTGTCGCTGTGCTTGGAAAGACAATTTCCTTTTCAGCAGCACTGGTATGGACTTTGGATGATCTTGCCTGCTTCTTCATTTCTCTCTTTCTCATGAAAGCCTTTCTCTTCTCGGTAAGTAATTGTTCCTATTCTGTGTCCTCAGTGAGCATGGGGAAGAGTGGCCAGTTTGTGGCACATTTTTTCTGCGATGCAGCCCAGAGGCCTTGATGTCCTATGGCACTGCGCTTTGGCAAAGGCATGTTTTTACAATCAGCTCGTCCATGCTCTTGTCTGGGAGTGGGTATGGGCACACAAACACACGGAGCTCCATGACTTCACCCCTAGCCACTGTCATAGGGAACCACAATTTGTTAAATGCATGGGGAAACACAGTATTAAAAAAAAAAATCACCACGCTGGGCGTGGTGATGCACGCCTGTAATCCCAGCACTTTGGGAGGCTGAGGCAGGTAGATCACCTGAGGTCAGGAGTTCGAGACCAGTTGGCCAACATGGTGAAACCCCATGTCTACTAAAAATACAAAAATTAGGGCGCAGTGGTGCATGCCTGTAGTCCAGCTACTTGAGAGGCTGAGACAGGAGAATCGCTTGAACCTGGGAGGTGGAGGCTGAAGTGAGCCGAGATCACACTACTGCACTCCAGCCTGGGCGACAGAGCGAGACTCTGTCTCGGTTAAAAAAAAAATCTTTCTCTGTAAAAATTATCCTGATCTAAAATATGATACACGTGTGTGTGTGTGTGTGTGTGTGTGTGTGTGACTTAGGCTGTCAGAAATCTTGAAAGGTCATACAAAAAGGCATACGGAAAGAAGCCCAGCGAGAAGAGTTTTCCTGCTGATGAAGACAGAAAAGGCACTGCAGCAGATCCTGCTGGGACAGGTAGCAACTGTTCGTGTGATTGCTAACAAATTGAATTTGTGGCGTCTTTGGTGTTTCTGTATTTGATGTCCTCGGTTCATTGGACAACAGAGCCATTGTTGGTGGCAGGAAATATCACTGTACATTTATACTGAAAGTCTGTAGTTCTGGCAAAATTAAAACTTTGAGAACATAAAGTTGCAAATTCTAATAACACTTTTTAAAAGTCAGTTTTCTTTCACATGAATGCATGTGAAAAATTCACGCAGCTTTTTGTCATCCAAGGTCCCAGGGAGAGAGCACGAGCGTTGAAACCTGCACCAGCAGCCCGGGCGAGGCGGCTCCTTGTGCTAGGGCGCCCTCTAGAGCCGGAGAGCGGAAGCGGCGCGGGCGGCGGGCGGCAGGCGGCGCCTCTGCACCCAAGAAGCGCTTACCCCCAAAACATATGCTGGGCCCCAGGTGCCTGCCCTGGGTAACCAGCACGAACGAACAGAGATACCCCAGGCTGTGTAAATCCTTGGTGATCCCCTAGATTCATCCGTTGAGTTTTAAAACCGAGAAACTTGATATCCAGAGAAGAAAGACCCTTTTGAGGCCAGGATTCCATGGGAGGAAGACCCTCTCCTCAGCCCCTTAATACCCACCCTCCCCAGCCAACAGGACCCTTGGGGAAGAAAACCCTCTCCCCCACCCCTCATACCTCCCCCCAGATCCCCCATTCCCTCAGGGGAAGGAAGACCCTCTCCCCCACCCCCTCGCGAGCCACCCTCCCACTCCAGACAACAGGATCCTTGGGGAGGAAGACCCTCTCCTCCCTCAAACCCCTCCTCAGCCAACAGGACCCTGGAGGAGGAAGAGCCCCTCCTCCACATCCCACAACACCCCCCTCAGCCAACAGGACGCTGGGGAAGGAAGACCCTCTTTCCCACCCTTCACGACCACCCCCAATTCCCCAGCCCCAGCCAACAGGACAGATGAGGTGCAGGCAGGCTCATGGGTTCGGTGGAGGGAGTTTGGGATCACCCCAAAGCTTTTTCCATTTTCGGGGTCAGCAGCCTGGCTGGTGGCCAGAACCAGCCAGTTCTGTGAGAACACTGGAGGCATGAGCAGCCCCTGCCAAGCAAGTGGCAGCAGCCTGGCCAGGGAGGCGTGGGTGTCACAAGTGAAGGGCCCAGTGGGGCCGGGGGCTGTGACCACATGTGGAGGGCCGGGGCCTGGGCCGGGGGCTTCCTCTCTTGGGGCTGAGGTTTGCTCATCTGTGAGTCAGGCTGAGGCACCCATGCCTTGGGGTGGCCTTGAGGTTAAGGGGTCTGTTTGTGTGAAATGCTCAGGGCTGGGCCTGCCCTCAGCACACTCAACAGGTGACAGAGACCGTGACCATGATGTCGGACCCGTCAGCCGCCCTTACAGGTGAGCACATCGCACATCCAGGGGGAGCTGGTGATGACATCACCTGGTCCTCACCTGAAGCAGCTGAACCTCTGAGACCCTGGGCAGCACTGTTCACGCTTCCCTTATTTTCCGTACCTCACTGCTGCCTGAAGCCCCAAATATACAGCTTGGGTAAACCATTTCCCCTGAATTGTGTTCACAGATTAAAAGATGCTAATGGGAGATCCAGAAATTTCTAAGAAATATAAAAAACCAATATGTCAATATTGGAAACCATATTGGCCCCTGACACAGCTCAATGCCACACACTTGTTCCTCTGCCCCCCCAATATACAAACATGTACATACACACACAAGCAGACAAGTACACACAAATATTTGGGAGCATGCACAAAGACATGCACGTATACAGACACACATGAGCATACACAAAAACACAGGCACACATGAGCACACACAGAGACACACATTACACACGTGCACACACAGACACACAAGAGCATGCACAAAGACACAGGCACATGAGTGCACACACAGACACACACACGTGAATGAGAAGACAGCAAAAACATGACCAGACACGAGAAAAGATTCAGTAGTATAGAATAGGGGAATCCATCTGAAATTTCAGAATAAATATACCATATATAACAAGTTTACTTTTTAAGACAGCAGAAAAAAGAAGACCTAATCCACAGTCCCAAACAGGTGTGAGAGATTATTTCATCTAACACAGGAGAGCATGCTGACATGGGTGAAGATTGACTTTGGATTAAAAACATGATTTCATTTTTAAAAGCAATAGAAACAAAATGACAGCTACATTTGCCCTTCAATCTAGCAACCCTATCTGCTAGAAATCTATCTAAACCTTATACTGGCATAAGCACAGAGCGATCTGGGCACAGTGTTGTTAATTACAGCATTATTTGTGATAACACAAGATCGAAACAACCAAAATGTCCACGAGTAGTGGGCTGACTATGAAGCCACAAGAAGAGGAAGATCTCTGTGGACTGATAGGTCAAGATCTGCGGGATATCACATCCGCGAGGGAAAAATCAAGGGGCAGAACAGAAGAAATAGATGGCCGCGTCTTGTGTCATATATGTGGGGAAATAAGAATATGTGTGTATATATTAGCAAAAAGAAGGATAAAGCCGAGGCCAGGCGCAGTGGCTTACACCTGTATTCCCAGCACTTTGGAAGGCCAAGGCAGGAGGATCCCTTGAGTCTGGGAAGTTGAGCCTGCAGTGAGCCATAATTATACCACTGCACTCCAGCCTGGGCCACAAAGCAAGACCCTGCCTCTCTCTCTCTCTCTCTCTCTCTCTCTCTCTCTCTATATATATATATATATATATATTTTTTTTTTTTTTTAAAGATAAACCAGAAACTAACAAAGATGGTTACAAACAGCGAACCCTAGGGGGAAAATGATGGCATGAAAGTGACAGTTCAATCATTAACCCTCTAATCCTCTTTGATTTTTGTACCGTTCAATTAAATCATACAGAAAACGGTTTATACAATTGAAAACTGTAATGTGTGAACCTAATTGTATATCAAATTGGTAACGTAACCACATACAGAAAACAACCATTTCTTGGTCTTTAAAACACAGTATTTTTATTTACTTTATTTACATGCTTAGTGAAATATAGTGTAAGTACAAAAGAAATTTAAAAATCTTAAACTGAATTTAGCAATTTGTCAGTAATAATATTAGAATTATTGTTTTGAAATTATTTTATGTATAAGATAAAATAAGTAATTTTGAATGCTCTTGTAAACCAAGGTTTTTAGTGTGAGAAAAGAATACAAGTACAAAATAAAAGTCCATGCAAAATTTTACAGTGTTATGTTTGCGCTGAAAATATTAATATGAACTCATGCTTTATTTGTAAGATATATTTTCTAACTTGAAATATATCTACTGAAAGAACCTAGAAGCTCTGACACCCAGTAGCACTGAGCACCCATTCTCACACTCAGATTTGATCACTAGTGTTATTCTCACTAAAAGGAACAAGAACCCTACAGCAGATTGAGTTTTGTTGTTGTTGTTTTGTGTGTTGTTTTTCTTTTTTTTTTTTTTTTGAAACAGAGTCTTCCTCTGTCCCCCAGGCTGGAGTGCAGTGGCATGATCTCAGCTCACTGCAACCTCTGCCTCCCGGGTCCAAGCGATTGTCCTGCCGCAGCCTCCCGAGTAGCTGGGATTACAGGTGCCCGCCACCACACCTGGCTAATTTTTTTGTATTTTTAGTAGAGACGGGGTTTTCACCATGTTGGCCAGGCTGGTCTTGAACTCCTGACCTGAGGTGATCCGTCCACCTCGGCCTCCCAAAATGCTGGGATTACAGGCGAGAGCCACTGCGCCCGGCCCAGATTGAGTTTTGGCCAAAGTTCTTTCCCCATCCCTGCACCCATCGCCCTTGCCATCTTCTGTGCAGACCCTCCCACTGAAGGTGACGTGGTTTTCTCAGTATTTGGCTCTGTGGAGTCTTGGCAGACACACTGGGCATCCTTGCGTGTGGCAGATGCACCTGGCAGCTGTAACGGAAGTGTGCCCTGAGACCCGCCCGGTGGTCTAAAAAGAGCGTGTGTTCACAGTCCCCAGCTAAGGAATCCAGGAGTGGCCAACCTGGAGATCCACTCTTCATCCATGAAGGAATCTGAACCCCTGGCCCAGCCCTTGGAGCGCAGGCTGTACCAGGGGATCAAGGCCCTTTGTTTTGGGTCAGATGGAGGCTGCTAGCTGGAGGCTGCAAAGGGAAAATGCTGTGTAAACAGCACGTTCTTTACAAACAGTAGCGGTTTTCCCGTCCGGCAGCCACCACTGCATGTGTCTCCCATGCTGGCTCCAGGTCTCCTGTGGGCCTCTTGGACGTGGCACCACCCCTGTTGGAGCCCACAGGAGCTCAGCACAGTGATGCGGGGGCTAGGCAGGAGGTGGGAAGAAGCCCCATGCCTGCTGAGCCCATGGGATGCACCGAAGCGGGGTGGAGATCTGTGGGGCAATCCCAGGTGGGCCCTCCACACCAATGTGGGGCCAGTAGCTGCTATCCTTGATGGATGGGGCCCATGCCTGAGTAGGGAGATGCCCCTAAAACGCCAGAGGGTCTGGAAGAGCGGCTGCAGGGTGTAGATCCGACTAAGTGAAAGTCAGGGCCCCCAGCCATGGCCCCTGAGGTCAGCGGCCACTGAGGTCAGCACAGCGCAGGTGGGTTCCTCAGCTACAGGGCCACTATGACTAGAAAGACGGGTGAGACTTGCTGGGGCTGAGATCCTGGAGACCTTACTGCTCTGCCTGCTGGCACAGGGTGACAAAACAGACACCCTGGCTTGTTGCATGCCCATTGGAATAGTCACTGGCCACCACGTCAACTGGTCAGGGCTATTATTACTAAATCGTCCTGAAGCCCTAAGTTCCGGGATTCTATGGAGGGCTCTAGCATGGAGGAGAGTGAAGACTGAGATGAGCCCATAGGTGTTCCTCTCCTCTCTGCGCCACCAGCAGGCACCACCAAGATAAAGGCAGACCAACTGCACCTGCAGGGAGCAGCCCCCAAGATTTGCCCCTGCCTGCAAGATGGCAGCTTGGGCCAACACTACTGTAGAATGGATGGAGCTGAGAAATGGGTTCAGACAGAAGGGCAGAGAGTCGGTCATGGGGTGGCTTCTCTGTCTACGGGAACAGATGGAGGGCATTGTCCTCTGCTGGGTTGAGATGAGTGAAATGGCATCGACCACAGGCCACCTTGCCCTGAGGCAGCACCTCTGTGGCACCAGTAATGAGGATCGGGCCATCCCCCACCTCGGCTGGGTGGTTGGTGGCTGAAAGGCAGCCTGGCCACATAAGGGGGACATCCCATGTCTCCTTTTCAATGGCAGACTATGGAGAATTTCAGGACAGCCCCTGGGAATTGGGGACTTAGCCCCCTCTATGTGCTGAACCTTGTTGGGGTCCCAATGACGAGCTTCTCACTGACCGCATGAAAGACGCCATGCTGAAGTGTGTACTCAACCAATGGATGGTGCACTGGTGTCTGTCCTGAGCCCCATCCTGACCCAGTGTCTCGGGGTGGGGGGTGGGGTCCAAGTGTCCACTGACTTAGGGGAAATGGAGAAACTGTGTGGGTGAGGGGTGTGGGTTGCTGGCACAAAAGACAAGTAACCTGAAGGGAAGGAGATGGCCGAGGAGCCTGTCAAGGCGACCCACTGACAAATGTAGCACGACCTGGTAGTGTCAGGGACATCTACTGTGAAAACAGATAAATGGCCTAGTGCTGTTCCAGTCAGACTGTGGCAGAAGCTCAGGCCAGGGCAATGCTTCACTAAGGAGCCTGGGTTCAGCCCACACCCCTCCCACAGAGGCACGGCCGGCACCAACCTCTCTAGACAAGGATGAAGGCCATGGAATCCCAATAAGAGGAATACAGCTCTTCCTCAGAACTGTGTCCAGAATCCTCCTGCTTCTCATCCCTGTCCCCGAAGCCCCTGGTCCGGGCCACAGCCCCTCCCACCTGGACAAGTCCGGGTCCCCATCGCCACTCTCTGCCCACCTGTGCATACCTGTCTCCTCTCAGCACAGCATCAGGCTCAGTCTGGGCCGTCCCTCCTCCATCCTCCTGTCCTCCCTGCTCACCCCTCCGACCTCCTTGCTGCTTCCTGAGGATGGAGTCAGGGTCCAGGGCAGGGCCTCTGCCCTCGAGGGCCCTTCCTGGGGAGCACTCTTCCCTCAGAGGCCCTGTCAGAGGCATTTGAACCAGAGCGACTCCATCTTGAGTAGGGGCTTGGTAAAATAAGGGTGAGACCTACTGCATTCCCAGTAAGTTAGACATTCTAAGTCACGGGATGAGATAAGAGGTCAGTATAAGGCACAGGTCATAAAGACCTTGCCGATAAAACTGGTTGCAGTAGAGGAGAGCCCAAATCCCACCAAAACCAAGATGGCGATAAGAGTGAGCTCTGGTCGTCCTCGATGCTACACTCCCACCAGCGCCATGACAGTTTATGGTCTGAAAAAGGGAAGCATGAATAATCCACTCCTTGTTTAGCATATCATCAAAAAATAACCATAAAAATGAGCAACAGGCTGCTCTCGGGGTTGCTCTCCTATGGAGTGGCCGCTTCTTTATTCCTTTCCTTTTTAATAAACTTGCTTTCACTTTACTGTCTGAACTCGCCCTGGATTCTTTCTTGCGCAAGATCCAAAATCCCTCTCTTGGGGTCCGGATCGGGACCCCTTTCTGGTAAGAGCCCCTCCCACTGCCCACCTCATCTGGGCTCACCTGCCACCAGCCCCCATCCCCTTCGCAGCTGCCCCACGCTGCCCACTCCTGGACCCCTCTCCCACCTTCCTGGCTTTGTCATCGCACAGGTCACCTCCTTCCAGACCATGGCAGCTAAATCTTAGACCTCTTTACTGTTTCTCCTACCGAAGCTCCAGGGCCAAGGAGTCCACTGTTCACCCACATTTCCTAAAAGCCCAGAACAGCACCTGCACACAGGAGGCATTTAATACATGTTTTTGAGTGAAAGAACGATGGATGAATAAATAAAAAGCAACTCGGGTTTCTCTAAGTGTGTCCACAGCTTACTGCATGGGTCTGTGTTTGAATGCCGTTCCCTACAAAAAAGACAAGAAACCAGCACTGGGGCGTGAAAAGATAGATTTCCTTCACCTCCAAGCCTTCACCCACCCTCACCTCATGACAGGTTTCGCCCTGCACAGCTTGGTAAGCCTTTGGAAACAAGCTTCCTGTTGGTGTTGAATGAGCACAACTTCTTTATCCAATGTGTGGTAAAAGCTCTAGTTTGCTGTCCCCCTTTTTCGGAACAAGCAACGTTTTAGAGCATCTGAGGATCAAAACCGATGTTTAGAGCAGCGGGTCTCAAGGTGTGGTCTTGGACCAGCGTCACCCGGCGACTTGTGAGAAATGCACATCCCTGGGCCCCACAGAGCTGTGGCCTCAGGTGGGGTGGGGCCTCGAAAACTGTTGTCACAAGCCCCCCAGGTGATTGATGCCCACTCAAGTTGAAGAACCAGAGCTCCTGGGGGAGAGGAGGAGGGGGCTAAACAAACACAGTCACCTGAAGACTTGGAAGGAGATGTTTACAGCTTTCCAAAAACTCATTGATGTGGAGATAATTCCGTAAATCACTTGCTCCGGACCCATCTGGAAGTCCAGCACAGACTCCATTCCCAGGCACAGGGACGTCCCACCTCCCCGGGTACTGCCCCTTCCATAGGCACCTTGATGAGATTAAAAAATACGCCAAAAACCTTTCTGTTGACAATACTCAGTGTCAAATACCGCTGTCCTCGCGGGAGGTGTATTTGCATTCGATTAATATGTGCATAAAATGTTGTCCTTGTCTGAGCCCAAATACACAAATTGGAAAATCAAAGCGGGCCCCTTCACACCTTTTGCTGGCTTCATCCTGAACATTTATTTGTTTTAAAACAACTTCCTCAGCGAATTTCCTTTCTAAAAGAAGCTCCTCTCCATTTTAAAGGGAAATTACCCCTCCTTCTCCTTCTCCTCAACCAATTTCTGACAGTGACCCCTTAATGAGAGCCAGCGAGGTTGCAACTGGCATTTTCTCCATCTTCCGTTTTAAAGTCATAGGTGAGGCTTTTAGGAAATATTCTCAAGGAGATTCAGATGGCTTCAAAGAACTGGCATTTTGTATGGAATTTATACCAGTGTCCAACTAATGCTTTTGTGGTGTGTGTAAGGCAAGTAATTATTTAAATGCAGTAGACTTTGACTCATGTTCCTATGAGGAAATTATAAAATGATCTCTAATAAAATACTTAGAGGCATTAAAGAATACATGTTCTACTCCAAATAGCATTTCATCATTAATGTAGAATTTTAACTAGTACCTACTAAGAGCAAAAATAGGAAAAATGTCAATTTCTAATGAAAAGATTTGAAGTGTTTGATAATGTCCCGCAACTATTGGTGGTAACTAATTTTTGATGCCTCCAGGGCACCAAAATTGTTTTTATGGTTTTTTGACAAAACTTTTCTGTCTCTGAGACTGATTCATTGAACATCTTAGAGGCTATCATTTACATAGTGACTTCATTTTTCTCATGACCAAAGATGTGGAAATAGCAAAATGTGACCAATTTTATTGTTAAACAGACTTTAGAAATCATTTCATCCAACCCTGTGTCTTCCCAACAAGGGAAAGGGGAGATGTTTGTGAGAATGCGCCCTGTGCCTGGCGCCCAGGATGGGTGGGCACCATTCCGGCCCCTAATGCCTTTCCACCGTTTTCTGTCTGTCTGAATGAGATGCTTCAGAAATAATTTTTTGTAACACTTTTTAACACCTTGGAATCATTAAAGGAATCTGTTTTCTTGCTAATTATAAATAAATGGAGTCAAAGTCTAAGGCCCATTTACTATATTTTCAGTGTTTACCATAATTTGGGGTGTTGCTCCCTACTTTATGCTAGTCTAAGGCTCAACCTGCATTCACTTCTAAGTCCATCATGCACACTTTAAAGTCTATGTTAACTGGACTGTGGAAGGGAGATCTGAATTTTAATATCCTAAATGTTAGGCTTCCTCTGGCTCTTCACCCACTCCGGCTTTGGTTTCCTCTTTTTAGGAGCTGTGTGTGTTGAGTTCAGAGCAGAGAGGCCTGGAGGGGCCCACCTGGCGGTCTCACTTGCCAGAGGTTCTCTTACATTAACCTTCTTGTGGCATGACGTCATCTTGCCGGATTTTCATGTCATTTTCCTAGGCCCAAAAGCTAAGGAATTTAGTCAGTGATGGGCAGAGAAAGCATCTGCCTTCAAACGCATTGTTGAAATTGACTTTTGAGGAATTGGACAGATTTTATATAGTTATGTTGACAATAAATATAATTAGAATAAATTTTCAAGTTAGAAAATGACTCACCTGGCTGGGCGCGGTGGCTCACGCCTGTAATCCCAGCACTTTGGGAAGCCGAGTTGAGTGGATCACCTGAGTTAGGAGTTCGAGACCAGCCTGTCCAACATAGTGAAACCCTGTCTCTACTAAAAATACAAAATTAGCCAGGCATGGTGACACGTGCCTGTAATCCCAGCTACTTGGGAGGCTGAGGCAGAAGAATCGCTTGAACCTAGGAGGCAGAGGTTGCAGTGAGCCGAGATCATGCCACTGCACTCCAGCCTGGGTGACAAGAGCAAAAAAATTCCGTTTCCAAAAAAAAAAGAAAATGACTCACCTTGTGTTTAAACACCTTATTTAATGCTGGAGGAATGTAAGGAGTATTAGAAGGTAATGGATTTGAAGGGCCTTATAAGGAAACAGGAAGAGAGAAGAATTTTTCCATGAGGAAATAATTTTCATTTTACAGTTAGAAGAATTAACACCTAGACAAATGAAGTGACTTACTCAGGACAAGGCTCCTACCCCTGGGGCTCAGAAGTACTTGGGAATTACTTCCAAGCCATATAAACAATATCGAGCTTTGGGTTTATTTTATTAGTTACTTAATTATACTTATGACAGGAATATAGTTTAGGCTTTTAGTAAATGTATGCTGTGTTGAATTAGTTGAACTTTAAAAATGGATTACTTTCTCAATAATGTATTTTATTAATCTTTCTCTCAGTTTCCATTTTAACCAGAGACTTACAATGTAATTACCTTTTTAAAGGATATGGTGGTGTTTTATTGCACCTTGAATTGCTAAATTTAAATTTGTTTTCACTTTTTCATGCTTTTGATTTTTTCTTCATTTAAAGGATCTAGAGCCACATTTACCCAAATTAGTAGGCATTAATGTCAAGTGGACTGTTGAAACAGCAGAGTAAAAAAAGTATAATTCAGAGGATTCACATGCAGAGTGGAAACACCCAACCTCCCTGTCCTCCTCAAGCCCCTAACATGTAGGCTCTGCTACCACGGGTTTCAAAACCAGGCCTACAGATGTGTTTCAGGGGTAACAATATTTTGGAGGAAAAACTCAAAGCCCTTTTTTTTTTTTTTTTTCCTGTTCAAGTAGCTATGAACATGTAAGCCACTGATTTTTCTCATCCGGGGAACACCGATGATGACATTTGTTGAGTTGTAGATCTCTAGGTTAGACCAAAGGATGAGATCAGTGGAGAACAAGATACTTAAAGCGTTGACCACAGGCCTAGTCAATCTCTCCGAGGACGGCCAAGGGCAGGTTTATCAGGCTCTACCGTCCTTCCACATGAAACTTGGCATGACCAGTACTTTGAAGCCTGAATGAAAGACGACAGATCCAGCCAGGCTTGGTCTATAGAATCGTGCCTTTCCCCACCTCCATCCACCAGGAAAGAGGAGCCTGATTAAGATCCCCTGTTTTAAGTCTGAAGAGGGCAGATTCCAATCTTCCCCATTTTCAAAATCACAGACTTGCCTTCGCTGCAGAATTAGGGCTCTACAAATTCGCTCTCTCAGAGTTGATAACTGCCAAGATAAAATGGTTAACTTAAAGGATTTTAATATAATAAATGTTAATTGTTTAGTAGGAACCAAGACACAAGTGAAAGTGCTAGCATTTGGCAGACTTTGATGGATTTCAAAATCCTATCATTTATTGGTTTTAGCAAACATTTTCCATTAATGACCGTACTTGAAGACATTTATATCAAATAGATAATTAATAAAAGTATATACATAGCAGCAATGCTAAAGTGATTTTAACTAAATAATTAGTTCTGGCGCCAGAAATAATTTAACTTTTTAAAAAACTAATAGCAAATCTATTTGTTTTGCTACTTTGCATACATTAGGTGGACAATAAATAATGGTTTGTTGTGGGCTGTGCTTTAAAACACCAAAATAACTAATTATTTGATTAAAGTGGTGCTTTGTCTCAGGAAACCTAGTATACAATTTCCTGAGTCCTTGAACTCAATGGAGGAGACCATAGCATGTACAATTACACTGTTTCCTAAACAGGGTGACCAGAGTCCGATCAAGACAACCTATCTCAGTTTGTGAGCATCATTATTTTTTAATACTCTCAGTAGAGTGTGTTTTGCAATTCACAGTGACATTAAATCTCCATTGGTTATTTGCACAAATGAGTGCATGTGATGTATGCATATGTATGTATACATGTGCATATGTGTCTATATATCTTTTAAAATTATACCAAAAACAAAGAACATGGTCAACTGTCTTCATTCCATCATGAGTGCATTACTGAAGCATTTATAGTATCTCTCCTATATAGAAGTGAACTACTCAGTAACCTCAGCTATTCAAGACTTCACAGATAACAAGAAATAAGGAAAATGATCTTAAGAATCAAGATAGATGTCACAGAGCCCATGAACTAAATAGTCATAATTGTTGAAATCTTGATAATAATAGAATAGCAAGCGCTTATATAGGATTTACTGTGGGCAGCCTGCCTCCAAATGCTTTATACAGATCAGATAATTTAGTCTTCACAAAAACCATGTAAGCTAGGCATTATTAGTATCAACTCCATTTTGCAGATGATGAAAATTGAGGTATAAAGAAGTTAAGTAACTTGTTACAGTCATGTAGCCTGTCAAGCGGTAGAGCTGGCATTTGAACCCGGCAGGTGGCTGCAGGTTTTCAGCCCCCGGACACTTTGGCCTTTTAGCCTCTCAAATGGACTTTGTGTCACAGTACTTCTATACGTTCATGCATTTTCCTTGTAGGTGGGATAAATATTCATCTAAACTTTATGGGGCATTTTTTAATTTTCTTTACAGTTGACCAACCAAATATCTGATTTTTAAAAGTGTTGTTGTTTATAAATGATGGTCATTATAGTCATAGATTTTTCTTAAAAATCTCTAGTTTTCTCCCCAGTTCTAACAAGCGTGGATATCTGTTTTCCTTGCACATGGCAGATCAGAAGTAGTGACTGAAACCTGGGAGTGAGGCAGTGAAACAGTCAGCCGCAAGGGTCTCAGGTCAGGGCAACGGGAGAGGGAGAAGACCCAGGCTTGCTAGTGTGGGCCTGGAGATTGTCACCACTGTGAAACAGAGATGGGCTGCTGGTGGTCACTGGGATGTTGCAGAGTCCTCAAGAGCAGGTTTCCCTGGGGTGGAAATCTAGCCAGGCCCTGGGCAGGCTTACCAGGGGCCTCATCTGCATCCCCTCAGAGGTCTCTGAGATAAGGAGGGATGAGGGTACCCAGGACTTCTGAGGACACCTGTGAAGAGGTCTCTGGTAGCAGGACCCCGATACCCCCAAGAACACCCTAAAGATATGCCCTTGACTTGAAGAACGGAGCCATCAGCAGTGGAAAGAACACTTTTGATGTGTGATGGTGTTAAAATACATTCCACCTTTGTTTCTTGGAACTTAAAGCAAATTCTTGTAGAGGACGGTAACTGAAAGAGCTGCCCCTTAGTTTGGAGATGGGGTCCTATCATGGTGGAATCTTCCCCAAGCCCTCCCACCTCCATTCCAGGAAGAGACAAGAGCTGGGGTGTCATCCAGCAGGAAGAATGGGGGCGCTGCTCCCCTTCTGCTTGAGCCTGAGTTGGCAGGCTTGCTGTGGCTGCGGGGATGGCAGCTGCGCCTCCTGCACAACGCAGGATCACAGCCACAGCAGTGGGGACCTAGACAGCTGGGGCCACTAGACCAGGCCACCAGACAGACAGAGGGCTGGAGAAATGCAGAGGTGGCAGCAACACACGCAGGCAGGCAGGCAGGCATCAGGGGCTGTCAGCAAGAGAACCTAAGATGCTCGTGGCAGTAGAAGCGGGCCCCTGGAGCGGCCCGGCAGTTCCTGGGTTGGTTCTGCAGACCTGAAGCTCTCCCAGGTCCTCGAGGACCTCAGGCCTTGGCCTTCCTCAGCTCTCCTCAGAGGTTTGACCACTTACTCTGTCAAATGAGGTAATGAAAGGGAACTGGCGACAGGTTTAGAATGTATTACACAATAGGCCGTGAGCGGTGGCTCACGCCTGTAATCCCAGCACTTTAGGAGGCCGAGGCAGGTGGATCATGAGGTCAGGAGTTTGAGACCAGCCTGGCTGATATGGTGAAACCCCATCTCTAGTAAAAACACAAAAATTAGATGGGAATGGTGGCGTACGCCTGTAGTCCCAGCTTCTTAGGAGGCTGAGGCAGAAGAATCACTTGAACCCAGGAGGCAGAGGTTGCAGTGAACTGAGATCATGCCACTGCACTCCAGCCTGGGTGACAGAGCAAGACTCCGTCTCAAAAAAAAAAAAAAAACAATGTATTATACAATAATAATTATCTATACGGAAATGTTACACTCAGGGCATGGGAATCAACTCCAGAAAGAAATCCAAAGTTCTAAAAGTATAAGATATCATAAGCCTGGAATAATGAAATGTGGGAGAGGAAGTGCTGAAGAATCAGGGCCCGCTCTCACATTTACACTCTGCACACACTATGCACTAATCACAAGCAAGGCCAATCGCGAAAAGCAGGGCTTTTTGAATGAAAAAATTCGTTCATCTCAACGGTGGAGATGTTCATTTTTGCTTATTGGAGATAAAATAATATAATCAGAGACATCATAGTTAAGCTTAACAAAATAACATTATTAAAAACTTTTATACACAATGAAAAGGAACTTTGTTTTGTAAGAGACAATGAAATCTGAAAACAATAAATGTAAAAAGATGATACAGGTTTACATCCAAAATGCACACGGATTGATATGAATGTATAGGCATGAACATATAATCCACACTTTGCTAAACAAGTAGTCAAAGGATACTTACGCTTTACACATCAGCAGTAACCACGTATATTTATAGATTATGTGAAGCCTCATAACCTCTTCTTCGTGACGTAAAGGGCAGGTGTGACCATCCTCTTTCCACGCACTGGATACTGAGAAACGAGCTTGGTGCAGGCATCCTGGAAAGCAGTCTGGCTGTCATAATGGAAGCAGGGCCATTGTCCCTATGCTTTGGCTTCTTAGTGTTCTTTGAAAACTATAATTCAGGGGTATGGTGAAAATATTTGTACTAAAGCTATTTTTTTTTTTTTTTTGAGATGGAGTCTCGCTCTGTCACCCAGGCTGGAGTTCAATGGTGTGATCTCAGCTCACTGCAAGCTCTGCCTCCCGGGTTCACACCGTTCTCCTGCCTCAGCCCCCCGAACAGCTGGGACTACAGGCGCCCGCCACCACGCCTGGCTAATTTTTTTTGTATTTTTAGTAGAGACGGGGTTTCACCATGTTAGCCAGGATGGTCTCGATCTCCTGATCTCGTGATCAGCCCGCTTCGTCCTCCCAAAGTGCTGGGATTACAGGCGTGAACCACCGTGCCTGGCAGTACTAACGCTATTGATAACAGCCAAGTTAGCAATAACTCAAATGTGCAACCATTGAGAAATGCATGTATCACACTGCGTTATGCTTATCTTTTCACATAATGTATGTCTCCTGGCTAGATGAAAGTTTGGGGTTAGGAACCTTATCTCAGTTATTTTTATTTCCTTGGCATTTGATAGAATCTGGCACATAAACACTCAATCAATGTTTACCAAGAGGAAATTAGCTGAATTGAAGTAGGTAATTGGGTGTAACAATGTTACCATAATTATGTAAATTATTATGTGCTACATGGAAATATATACACAATATAATTAAAAAATCAAAACACCAAACAAAATGTGTGCAGCAATTCCAACTAGGTAAATTATAGATGTCTATCATGAGAGAAAGCATCATTTGTAATAATGATAAGACAAGTCTGGTTGGAATCACAGTGAGACCTTGTTCTAGTTTTTTAACAAGCCTCAGTTTGTTCACCTGCGTAATTAAATATCTACTTTGCAAGGCTGTGGTGACTATATATTCAGTTAAACCCACATGGAGTATAGAACAGAGTTTGGCTTATAATGTGTAAAGCAGATAATTGTTAAGTAATAATGAAATAGATGTTCTAAAGAAAATAGAACCCAGCATGGAGCCTGGCACTCGGTAGGTGCTCAATAAATAGAAATCACTTTTGTTATTTTTAGAAATAGAGGGGGACATAGTGATGTTCAGAGTTAATGAGTTAGTCTAAAAGTGTATTTGTGTAAAATCAACTATAATAATACATGGTAAAAACAAACAAGTCAGAGAAGGAGGGAAGTAGGATACATTTTTGAAACTGTCAAACAAAAAAATATTTTAAAATGTATTTTTAAATCCTGCTACCCACATGTCTTAGTCCAGTTTGTGCTGCTATAAGAGAACACCTGAGACTGAGTAACTTACAAAGGCCAGGTATTTATTTCTCACAGTTCTCGGGCCTGATCAAGGCCCTGGCAGCTCAGGCCTAGCCTCACTGCTTCCAATATGACACCTTAGATGCCGCATCCTCCAGAGGGGAGGAACGCCATGTCCTCACATGGCAGAAAAGCAGGAGAGAGAGAGAGAGAGCAAGAGAGAACACCCACTCCCACTGGCCCTTTTTATAGGGGCATTGAACCATCATGAGGGCACAGCTCTCATAACCTAAACACCTCCCACGAGGCCCTACCTCCCAACACTTTTGCACGGGCGACTAAGTTTCTAATTCATGAATTCTGAGGGGCACATTCAGACCTTGGTACCAGGCAACCCGACCATCCAGCCTGTCTCATTGCCCTAAACTTTAGGTTTGCTGAAGTTTTACTTTTAGATTTCTAGAGTAGAAAGGGACCTTATAAATTGCTGCTGCTTATTTCATTTATACCTATTGCTTGAAAGAATTTGATGTGGCTTATAGTAAACACACACACACACAATCACACCTTTCTTTTTTTTTAAGAAAAGCAAATATAATTGAATGTTTAGGACAGAATATCAAATTATAGCTCATTCAGCAAATGTTCGCATCCTTAGCATGGTCAATCTTCATTTGTATTAGGATACAAACGTCACAATAGCCAGTGTGCATACAGCACTTGCTATGGGGCAGGCACTGTTGTAAGCACTTTGTGGGGATCAATTCAACTGGCCAGCACCCCGCTGTGGGATGGGTTCTATTGTTGTCGTTTCCAGTGTGCAGATGAGAAAAAGGAAGCACAAGAAGCTCATGTGACCTCTGCTGGGAGGCAGCAGGGCTGCCAGCTGAGCCCTATGGTCTGGTTAGAGGCCACATTCTGAAACATCACAAGTTCTAAAATGCTGAGGGGACTTTCTCAGAAAGTTCAACCGAGTTAAGGACAGAGACACATCAACAAGCATACTGTCTAAAACGTGCTGGGTGCGAAAGACACATGAACAAGCTTACTGTCTAAAACGTGCTGGGTGCGAAAGCAGCAATGTATCCGTGACCTTTTGGTGGAAATGAAGATGACGCTGCAAGACACTGGGCGGATGGGAGGCCGGGTGCTTTGCTCTCCGGGACCCTAAGTTGATAAAGAACCAAGTTTCAGGTTGGGCGCGGGAGCTCACGCTTGTAATCCCAGCACTTTGGGAGGCCAAGGCGGGTGGATCACCTGAGGTCAGGAGTTTTGAGACCAGCCTGGCCAACATGGAGAAATCCTGTCTGTACTGAAAATATAAAAATTAGCCGGGCGTGGTGCTGGGCGCCTGTAGTCTTAGTTACTAGGGAGGCTGAGGCAGAAGAATTGCTTGAACCTGGGAGGCAGAGGTTGCATGAGCCAAGATCTTGCCACTAGATTCCAGCCTGGGTGACAGAGCGAGGCTCTGTCTCAATTAAAAAAAAAAAAAAAGTTTCGAAAGCTTGGAGGAAGAAACAGCCACTTTAGTTTCCTGTCTTAGTCACCTCGGGCGGCTGCGACATGTGACCGCAAACTGGGCAGAGGACAGCCACAGAAGTTTATGTCTCACGGTTTGGGTCCAGACGTCCAGAATTGAGGCGTCGGCCTCTCCAGATAGCAAGAGATGGTGCTGTCAAGACAGTGTAAGCCCAGGAGCCCAGGTGGCTGGGCTGTGTCTGCACAGCCTTTGGATAAGGCCTCAGAAAGATCATAGCCTCAGCATTCTGCCCCACCAAGGGTGCCTTAGAGAGGTCAGGGCTGAGCCTCATGGATCGAACCAGGGAGCCCCTGAGGAGCCGAAGGGCGTTGACTCCGAGTCACCTCGGCAGGACTCAAAGATAGAAAAGGCTTGCCTCAAAAACATCGGCAGGTGAGGCCTTCGGCTCATGGAGTAGACCCAGGTGAAATCCATGAGAGACAAAGATTTTGAGGAAATCACTTTCACAGAAACACTGCCAGCCTGGGTGGGAAGGAACAGAGAGAGCACAGGATGAAAGGAGGCTGCCAGACTCCCCAGATTTTGCTGGCTGGAAGTAGGCTAAAAAGCTCCTCAGCTGCAAACATGGGCAACCTTTCCTTCCAAACAAGTGCAGTGTAGATGCGGGGACCAAGAGCCCAGACAGGGAATCCAGAAGCCAGGAGAATTCTCCCCAGCCCTGGAAACCTGACTGAGAACTCCCAACCTTTACTTTTCTGGATTTGGAATTGCTACACAGTCAAGATGCCTTTTATCTGCCATTTCCTCCCCTTGAAAACTGAAATGTCTACAGCTGCATCTGGTGCCTGCTCCACCACGGGACAGGTCACTAATCTCTTTAGCTTCCCGGGCCCATCCATGGAGAGGAATTGTGTCCCAGAACCTGAACCGAATGATTGCACCATGACCCTCCACTGACCTTTGACCTGATTTAGATGTTGACATTTCAGGCTTTGAGCTGATGCCATGAAGCTCCGAAAATCTTAGGTACCTAGAGCAGGTGAATGACTTTTGCACATGCGAGGGAGGCAGGGGGGCGTGTGGCAGACTCCCAGGTGCCTCCAGGTGTAACTGCCTTTTATGTAGTCATCTCCCCTGAGTCACAGAGAAGGACTGGTGACTGACTTCTAACCAACGGCTACAGCAAAGGTGATGGGATGTCACTCTGGGGATGACTCACATCACACAGGACTGTCTTTTGGGGAGACTCGCTGTCTCCCTCACTGGCTCTGAAGAAGCCAGCAGCTGCCACAGATCCTACAACTGAAAGGAGCTGAGTGTTACCAAACACATGCGAGCAGGGGCATGCACGCTCCCCCAGTCAGACTCCGCATGAGAACCCACCCTGGACATAACCTGGCGACCGCCTTGTGAGACCCCAGCAGGAGAGCCGGCAAGTCTGTCGCTGGACTCCCGACTCACGGATTCGTTGAGATAATAGGTGTGTGTTGTGTTACATTGCTGCAGTGGGGGAATTTCTACACAGCAATAGATAACTAATGCATGCAATTTATTCCTTTAACATAAGTAAAGAGTGTGATGCCAGTTAAGTAAAGATTTTAGTGGCCACACAATTATTGGTTTGCATCATTTTTATTAATTTGGGCATATCTGTATTAGTCAATTTCTGTACTGCTATAAGGAACTACCCGAGACTGAATAATTTATAAAGGAAAGGGGTTTAATTGGCTCACAGTATAGCATGGCTGGGGAGGCCTCAGGAAACTTACAATCATGGTGGAAGGGGAAGCAAGGCACCTTCTTCACAAGGTGGCAGGAAGGAGAAGTACCCATTGAAGGGGGGAGAGCCCCTTATAAAACCAACAGATCTCGTGAGAACTCACTATCATGAGAACAGCATGCGGGAAACTCTCCCCATGATTCATTTACCTCCACCTGGTCTCTCCCTTGATATGTGAGGATTATGGGAATTATGGGGATTACAATTTAAGATGAGATTTGGGTGGGGACATAAAGCCTAACCATATCACTATCTTCCTTGTTGTTGTAGAGATGGTGTCTTGCTATGTTGCCCAGGCAGATCTCAAATTGTGGGGCTCAAGTGATCCTCCTGTCTTGGCCTCCCAAACTGTTAGGATTACAAGTGTGGGCCACCACACCCAGCCTGAGCATATCTTTAGAACATTTATAGCCCAGTTCACTAATAAAGAGATAAATGATACGACTTTAACACAATTTTTCATGTAGTAGTAATTTTTCCATATATTTTAGTCCTCAAGTTTTAGTTGTTACAATTTAGTAGATGAAACTTAACATAAAGCTTCATGACTGTAGTTCCAGCTACTCAGGAGGATGAGGTGGGAGGACAGCTTAAGTCCAAGAGCCCAGGAGCCTAGGGGTTCATGGCTGCAGTGAGCTCTGATCGTGACACTGCACTCTAGCCTGGATGACAGAGAGAGACGTGTCTATAAAAAATTTGTTTTAATTAAAAAAATAAGAAAGACTTGTAGGATGCAAAAGTATTACTTATTATGCTTTCATTTTTTACCGTTTGCCAGACAGCTCCCTGCACTTTGCAGACTTTACCTTATTCCCTGAGCAATCCTGGGAGGAAGGTGTTATTACCAAGTCTAATCTACAGTTGAAACAACTGAGGCTTGGAGAATGTAGTAACTTGCCCAAAGGATAGAGCTTGATTTGAGCCCAAGTTAGATTCACCCAAAGCCTATGTCCTTTCCATATATTATGCTATTTATTTACTAAGTTTTTAAGCTTTAGAGGAAAAGATTATTTCCCCTCAGTTTTACTCATTTATTCACTTTCAGCAACACATTTTTAAAATGAAGATCTTTACATCTTTTTAAATTATCATAATTATGTTGAACACGAGACAATATAAAGGCAAGCATTTTCTTTTGTTCTTTCAGCTAATATTTTAGAGTTTATTAGTTAAATGTCATATAAATACAAAACTAATCACTTTTATATTGCTAGTATTTCTAGTTGTTTGCTTCTCTCTCTTCCTTCCTTCCTTTTTTTTTTTTTTTTTTTTTTTTGAGACAGGGTCTCACTCTGTCGCCCAGGTTAGAGCTCAGTGGCATAATCATAGCTCACGCAGTCTCGACCCCCTGAACTCAAAAGATCTTCCCCCTCAGCCTCCCAAGTAGCTGGGACCACAGGCACATGCCACCACATCTGAATAATTTTCTGAATTAAAAAAATTTTTTCTTGTAGAGATGGAGTGTCACAATGTTGCCAAGGCTGGTCTGGAACTCCTGGGCTCAAGTGATCCTCCCGCCTGGGCCTCCAAAAGTGTTGGGATTACAGGTATGAGCCAGCCAGCTACGTTATTTCTTATTGTTTCTATAAATATTTGTGTCACAAAGAACCTTGCATTTTATATTTATTCTGGATAAGAATGAGCTTCAATTAAATTAATGTTTACTGAGCAATTGCATTAATTCAACTTATTAAAGTCAAATTCAACTTTAATAAGTAAATTCAGTTAAATAAGTTAAAACTTTAATAAGTTAAGTTCAACTTTAATAAGTTAATAAGGGGATAAATTAGATGTGAAGACTGGCTCAGATGAGAATGGGAGGTATGAACATTTACACAGTGGATGGTCAGAGAAACACTGAAGTGAATTTGTTCATAGATACCAAACAAGTTAGTGTCCCACAAGATGATAAGCCATAACCTTTAGCATTATCTTTTCTCCTGGACAGAAATCTGCATCTCTAATGGATTAATGTCTGACATGTAACTTCCCATAAGTCCTTAATCTTTAATCAATAGTAAGCGATGAGTCCTACCAAATATATTCACCTATATAGAAAATCCACAGGTGCCTGCTAAACAATGCCTCTATCTGACATCAACAAGAATTGCCATCTATCTTTTTAACTTTTTTCAAGTTTTGGATAATTTGTCATGGTCTAAGAAATATCTCTAAAATAATTTTATATTTATAGATTTCTTTTTGAGTTCATATGGGAAGTATATTCATGTGAAAAAAAAGAGTCAAAATGTGGTGTCTGAATCTGGTATATAGAAGATCTTGTACGCAGATACTATCATTTGTAACAGTTAAGAGTTAAAATTGCCCACAAGAATGAAATTTTCATTGTCTTCCAGTGGTTCTTGACTTTCACTTACCTCTCAGTGAACTGTGAGCCCTGCAGAAATATTGAAGTGTAAAGTCATGGGTCCTGGGGAGAAGAGAGAAGTGGAGAAGAATGGAACTTCTTTTAAGGTTGAGGGTCTGGTACTACACATTCCGGGAAGTCAATGCAAGCAGTTCTCACTCTGGAAAATGCGAAAACCTCCCAAGGTTTCAACATGTTGGTTTAGAACTAAACCAACCAAAAATGTTGGTTTAGAACTAAAAATATTGGCTCAAAACCAAAAAAGTTTGTTTAGAATTAAAAATAATGGCCACTATATTGAATGCATGTGTTTTTCAGATTCCAGTTTAATTAAAATCAGTGAGACAGAGTGGTTTTATCATTGAACCTTAATCAAATTATTCTGACTCAATGTTCAGCGCACAACACTTGAAATATATCAATGAAGACACATTTGAATTAATTTTCACTGGGAAAGACAAACTGATAGAAACATAAAGGCACAAAAAACTAAACACACACACACACACACACCCCAGAAGAAAGTCACCTTAATGGGAAAACATCCATGCTTCACTACAATTCCCTTTAGCGTTAAAGTGATCTGTAGTCCTCTCTTCTTAAATTTTATCCTTGTACCTATGACGATATATTTATGATTAAATATAGTCTCTTTCTACAAAGGGAACTTATCACATATAAGTAAATCATAAAGAAACAATTCTCAGGTCTCGGATAATGCTTAGCAAATACTCGTTTGCACAAACAGCTAGTGCAGACGTTCTAAGTTTTACTTTTAAAGCACTTTGCCACTTGCTTCCTAAAATGTTTAAGATAAACACGCATAAAAGGCCCAGTCCTGTTGGAAGTTCCTTTACATGGTTCCCTAAGTTCCGGAGCGCATCTCTGTGTGTGGTCTGCTGGGAAACCCCGGGAGGAAGGAACCTGTGGGGTTCCCAAGGCCCTCGGGACCCGGAACAGGACTGGCCCTCTCTGGGTAGGCGGGGCTGGCTTGGGGGCGACGCTGCCAGGAGCGCGCGGGGCCGCGTAGGCGCCCGGGGAGACGCACTTGCCCCAGGCGGCAGCCGTGGGAGCCCGAATCCACACCCCGGAGGATGAACTGTCGTTTGCAGAGTTAAAACGAGCTGTCAGGTGTCTTCAGAAGTTTAGACGGGAAAAGGCAAAGAGTTAATCCTTGCTGGACAAACCACTGCTGCTTCCAGAAAAAACCACCTGAGAACGGTTTAAAATGGGAGGGGGCGCTTTCCTAGGAAGCGGATTCAGAAAAACAAATACAACTCAATAGATTACAGTAAAATAAAATTGGAGGGCGCCAAAGGAACATTTGGTTATTCAAAAAGCTTGTTTTTTAATGAGAAACGACTTCAAAGGCGCCTTGGAAAGTGGGTGGGACGCGCACATCTCAGCCGTCACAAGGCAGGTGGGGCCCCCCGGGCGGAGACCCCGGAGGGCCTTTGCCTGGGAGCTACCCCCGTCCCCAGCCAGGAAAGAGCAGAGGGCGAGACCACGGGTCCCAGCGTCTGCTCCCCTCACCGGAGCTTTCTCCCTGGGGTGGCGGCCGCCGGGCTCCAGGCGACACAGCCAGTCGCAGGGAAAGGCGCCGCTGCTCCGTGTCCGCGCGGGCGTGGCGGCCCCGCTGCGCGCTCATTAGCGCCCGCTCCGCCCAGTGGCTTCCCGCGGCTGCGTGTTTACTTGTCATTTTCTGGCGGCTTTGTTTCCCACCCAGCTCCTGAGCCCGGGCTGGCCGCACTTTCTCGTTCTGGTTTTCTTTTTCTTTCCTCTTCTTTTTTTTTCGAGACAGGTTCTCAGTCTGTCGCCCGGGGCTGGAGCGCAGTGGCGCAATCCTAGCTCACTGCAGCCTCGACCTTCCGAACTCAAGCGATCCTCCTGCTTCAGCCTCCCCAGTAGCTGGGACTACAGATGTGAGCCACTGCGCCAGCCTAATTAAAATTTTTTTTTTTTTTTTTTTTTTTTTTTTTTTGTAGAGACGGGGTTTCGCCGTCATGCTCAGGCTGGTCTCGAACTCCTGGCCTCAAGCGACTCTCCCGCCTCGGCCTCCCAAAGCGCTGGGGTTCCAGGCCTGAGCCACGGCGTCCGGCTCTCTCCTTGCTGTTAGGCCGTTCCAGGTCTGGCCCAGCCTCCCAGTGCGGAGCCCCCAGCCAGTGTGCCGTGCTTGCGTCCTCCTGGTGGGACGGGTGGTCGTGGCCCAGACACCCCCGGACAGTCGCTGTAGCCGCCCCCATGGTCTAGGGGTCACCCTGTCACCAGGACGACCCCAGAACTGGGAGCCCGGGCCCCCTAGCCTTTGCTCCGGGAGGCCCCTTGCCCAAGGGGCGGCGGGAACAATACCTGCCCCTTCAGCCTCTCAGGACTTTGGAAATCCTACCACCCGAACACCGTGTCCCCGAGCTCGCTGCACCTCCCGGGGGTCCGATCGGATTGACGCTGAAGCTCAGGAAAACCTCCGTTTCATTTTATTTTGTTTGGGGAAGAGCCCTGCGAACGGCCCTGGGGTGCTGAAGGCTCTTCCTACAGAGGGAGGTGGCATGGACCCACCTCGGAGGCGCGGCCTCCCTGGGTCACAGCGATGAGGCCCTGCTGTAGAAATTAGACTGAGGCCGGGCGCGGTGGCTCCAGCCTGTAATCTCAGCACTTTGGGAGGCCGAGGAGGGCGGAACACGAGATCAGGAGATCGAGACCATCCTGGCTAACACGGTGAAACCACGTCTCTACTAAAAAAAAATACAAAACATTAGCCTGGCGTGGTGGCGGGCGCCTGTAGTCCCAGCTACTCGGGAGGCTGAGGCAGGAGAATAGCGTGAACCCGGGAGGCGGAGCTTGCAGTGAGCCGAGATCGCACCACTGCACTCCAGCCTGGGCCACAGAGCGAGACTCCGTCTCAAAAAAAAAAAAAAAAAAAAAAGAAAGAAAGAAAAGAAATTAGACTGAAAAAAAGTCTGATTTCTGCTGATGACGCTACATTTTCATCATCTAAAAAATGTCCCTCTATCTTTATAGAATCCTGTGCATCCCTGATTCTATTCTTCCC
Source organism: Homo sapiens (assembly GCF_000001405.40). NCBI lineage: Eukaryota > Metazoa > Chordata > Mammalia > Primates > Hominidae > Homo > Homo sapiens. Next base: position 31,406 of record NT_187557.1, on the reverse strand, counting down.
CAAAGGAAAATGGCCAGCGTGACCCTCACCTTATAAACCCTCGGGTAAATTAGAGGGCGCCTCTAGGCTCACTGTTCTGAGAAAGCTCTCCAGCTATCAGGCAGCCTTGTCAGTCACGTGCGCTCCATTGCCTAGGAGATGAAATTATATTGAAAAGCATTCATGTCTGTTTTCCACGAAACTGGCAAATACATGGTTTATTATCATAAGCAGCATATTCCCATATGACAATTGGTGTGTATAGTGTAAGAATGTTCTAGAGTCTCCATGCCAAAGGAAGGTAAAATTAGAAATTGAATTTTAAGGGAAAGGTATGTTTGTCTACTTCCTCTCAATGTCCTCAAACCTTTTCTTCCCCCTCTATAAAGCCCCCATTCTCTCTTCTATCATCCTCCCTCCCACCAAGAATTCCCCTTATATTAACTCCCAGGTATGACTACTTAGCTTAAAAAGAAGAAGAAAAACGGTCTGTCTGACTTAATTGTTCCCTTTAATTTTTAAAATATATATGAACCCTTAGAAACTTTCAAAGTTGTGGTTTACTTTTTTGGTGTCAATTACTGTTGAAAATAACTGTTTCCTGACTAGCTAGCTGCAAGTTACCCAGCTGTTACACTCCGCTGGTTTGAAAGATTTTAAATTTTAAATCACACACACACACACACACACACACACACCCATTCTCTTTGAAAATAAGAGTATAGGGTTGCAAAATGAATTGACCAAATGTGCAATCTCGAAAAATATGATTGACTATGAAGATTTATGGAAGCTGATTCAAAAGGAAGCTTGTGGAACAGAAATCAGAGAAAAGCTCCAGAATACAAAATTTAGAAGTCTGTATATTTCCCATTTTTTTATTGTGGGTTTTTATAAATGTTTTAACTTTTTAGCAATTAGTTCTGGGAAGTGATATCATCTGTCTTACATTTGGGTTAAGATTATAGAACAGCTCTTTTATAAAGACTGTAAAACTGGGTTGATTTTTAATATTTTGGTTTTTAATAAAATAAGCACTGAAAAATAGTGCTTATATGTTAGATATTTTCCTTTAGTGTCCCCAAATCAATGATAACTATAATCACTAAGAATTACAGTTCAGAGTGAGAAAAAACTACACATTTTTTTTCCTCAGGGAGTTACGAGCTCGGGCTGTCTTTCTCACCAAAGTGAATAAATTCATTTCAATAAATGTTGAATATTTACCTTTTGCTAAGAACTGTGCACAAATATATATGCTATATGGCCAAAAGAAAAAAAAAAAACCCCAGCATTCTCCAAAAGTCTTCTAGTATTTGAGAACATGAGATTTTAAAGTAAGGCTGCAAGGAATTTTGGAACTTAAACTCACTCTATCAAGTCACATAACAACTGACAAAGTCACACAGTGGTTTTGTCTCAACAGAATCATTTACTTTTACGGTAGCATAGTTTTAAAATTATTAGTAAATTATTAAATTATTTTTTAAGTGTGAGATACCTATAGTTTGACAGTCAATGAAACTCAGACCAACTCCATTTAATAGAATGAATGAATCGTTCTCTCATTGAGTGGCTTGTGGAGTTTTGGATAAATTGATATTTCAGGTGACTCACATAGGAATTCTGTGGAGTTTGATAAATACACGCTCCCTTCTCTGAGGTTTGTAGTATTCTATGATAAAATCGTCTTAGATTCTTGTATAAATGTTTATTAAATGTTGACTCTGGCCAGGCACAAAGCTAAGCCATGTCGGTGCAGAGGTGAACACAGTAAGCTGATTTCACACCTTTTTCTCTTTGCAAAATGCTGGGGCAGAGTACTTGTAGGTAGCACAATCTTCACTCCTTATGCATTCATGTTAATTTCCTGAACAAATATTCTGGGCTCACTTCTTGAAGATTCACTGCTCTTAAGTTCTGGCCTTTCCAGGCCATATTATCTTTCATGCTACTCCACATATTGGTAAAGTGCTGCTGTCATAAAATTCCTAAAGAGGCTGGGCGTGGTGGCTCACGCCTGTAATCCCAGCACTTTGGGAGGCCAAGGCGGGTGGATCACGAGGTCAGGAGTTCAAGACCAGCCTGGCCAAGATGGTGAAACCCCATCTCTAGTAAAAATGCAAAAATTAGCCTGGCGTGGTGGCGGGCGCCTGTAGTCCCAGCTACTCAGGAGGCTGAGGCAGAGAATAGCTTGAACCCGGGAGGCGGAGGTTGCAGTGAGCCGAGATTGCACCACTGTACTCCAGCCTTGGCGACAGAGCAAGACTGTCTCAAAAAAAAAAAAAAAAAAAAAAATCCTTAAGAAATTTTATTCAAACTTGAAAATTTCTTAAATAACTTATGACATGAACTGCTAACTTCCTGAGAAGATGTAAATATTTAAACATTGTTAGTAGGGGCTGGGCGAGGTGACTCAAGCCTGTAATCTCAGCACTTTGGGTGGCCGAGAAGGGTGGATCACCTGAGGTCAGGAGTTTGAGACCAGCCTGGCCAACATGGTGAAACCTCATCTCTACTAAAAATACAAAAAATTAGCCGGGCATGGTGGCGGGTGCCTGTAATCTCAGTTACTCCGAGGCTGAGGCAGGAGAATGGCTTGAACCCGGGAGGCAGAGGTTGCAGTGAGTCGAGATTGCGCCATTGCACTCCAGCCCGGGCAACAAGAGCGACACTCCGTCTCAAAAAAACAAAAAAAACCCCCAAAAACATTGTTAGTAGAATGACTTCATGCATTCCATTGTGAGCTGCCTGTTTATGTGTGTGAACAGGACTCAGATCCGTGAGCACTCCCAGGCTGTGAATCTTTTTGAATGGACACAGAAAGCTAGGACCTCGGAACAAAGGTTTTAAATTAGAAACAGAAGGCAGCGAACAAAAAACTTTTCTCACTACTGAAATCCTGTATCAGTGAAGGTAAAAAAGAAAATTCTGTTGTGAGTTTAGAAGTGTATTTGTCTTTAACATATTGCTCTCAGCCATTAGGAATTGTTTTATGTTTTATGGAAGACCCGCGTGAAGGCCGGGCACGGTGGCTCACGCCTGTAATCCCAGCACTTTGGGAGGCCAAGGCGGGCGGATCACGAGGTCAGGAGATCGAGACCATCCTGGCTAACACGGTGAAACCCTGTCTCTACAAAAAAATACAAAAAATTAGCCAGGCGTCATGGCGGGCGCCTGTAGTCCCAGCTACTCGGGAGGCAGGAGAATGGCATGACCCCGGGAGGCGGAGCTTGCAGTGAGCCGAGATCGTGCCACTGCACTCCAGCCTGGGCGACAGAGCGAGACTCCGTCTCAAAAAAAAAAAAAGAAGACTTGTGTGAAGAAGGCGTCCTGATTGCAACTGGACATCTCAATGGGCATTTGGTAATTAAAGGTCTGCTATAGTCATGGGACTAGACTTAGGAAGGAATCTTAGCATGGAGAGAGAGCAACCTGTCCATAAATATTCACAAAAGGACAATGGTACCATTTTCTAGAAAATACTGGATTTTGATCTAAATAGGTGTCTACAAATATTATTTACTATAATTATGGAATGTATAAATTGTATATAAAAACATGTCTTTATGTCTTTATCAACATAAAAAAGTTAATTTTCTCTAGAATTCTAAGAATGAATAACACATCAATAAAATTTTTTACATGATGATAAATTTAAAGAGTTTTCCAGATGTATATCTTTATATATATGCATATAAAAATGTTATTGAATATTGAAATATCAAAATAAATCTTGCATAGTTGAAAGGACTATACATTTCTAGTTTTACACCAAAGGAAGAATTTATTGTTTAACTATTAAAGCTTTATCCTTAATATTAAGCAGTATATCTCATTGTGAATTTATATTCTTTTTTATTTACAGGCTAATGAAAATTTATAATATCAAATGCAATGTTCTACTACCACATGAGCAAATCGGCCTTCTTGATGGTGCTAAAATATCTCTTTGCAATGTCTAATCCTGGACCCTGGCTTTTGGCTGCTCCTAGGAGAAGGAAACCAGGCCCGTGGTACACACTGATAAGGACAGTGGGCTCCCCCAGGAAAAGCAGATGAGATTTCTCGTATAGATGACAAATGCGTTATCTAACATTATATTTTCATTTCTCTTAGGGAATATTTTTGTATGTCTACTGTGTTTCCATCTTTTTCATCACTTAGCATTAAAATATTCATTCAGTAAAGTGATTGGTGTAACCGGCATTTAAAAATTCTAATTGCATGCAAAGTAATATTTTGCATCATCCACATAGTTTCATTTCAAAGATGTACAAAAAGATAGGCATGATTCCTGCCTTAGAAGAGAATGTGGTCCGGGCGCGGTGGCTCACGCCTGTAATCCCAGCACTTTGGGAGGACGAGGTGGGAGGATCACGAGGTCAGGAGATTGAGACCATCCTGGCTAACACGGTGAAACCCCGTCTCTACTTAAAAAATACAAAAAATTAGCCGGGCATGGTGGCGGGCGCCTGTAGTCCCAGCTACTCGGGAGGCTGACGCAAGAGAATGGCATGAACCCGGGAGGCGGAGCTTGCAGTGAGCGGAGATGGCTCCACTGCACTCCAGCCTGGGCGACAGAGTGAGACTCCGTCAAAAATAAAAAATAAAAAATAAGAATGTGGTGTGACAGTCTCAATTTGCTAGACAGGGTGGTATTTGGGGGGGGCCAGTCTGTCCGATGGTTGAACATGGCTGAAAGTTTCATTTACAAATGTGCAGCGTTCTCTAGAGAGAAGACAAAATGCTGTCGTGACTTTAGAGGCAGAAGTTCCAGTTAACACTTTTGAATCAAAATAAATCTTACATATTAAGCTAGGAAAGGTGGTTTTCTCCAATAGTGTTAGAAATACGAAGCTTTTGAAAGAAATCATCTTTATTATCTCTGTAAAAATCAAAGACTTTAAAGCATTTTTGGTGTGGTTTTTGGTTACCCCTCTGTATTCAAAGAACTGAAATCAGTTTATTTGTCCATAGGTATATACATAGCTATAAAAGTATTTAGTGCTAGCAAGAATGGGATAGATTTTGGTGGACAACTTACGGAATTTCATGAAGGTTTCAAAACAAGGATGAAAAATGTAGTCCTTTTTAAGAATGAAAGCTCAGCTGGATGGTAAAGCTCTAGAAGCTGTCCCATAGTAAAGACTAAAGCAGGTGTATCTGAGCCTGGAAAGAAAGGTCCAAGGGGAGGTGTAAGTAGCCTGAAATACCTGGGGTTTGCATGTGGATTTTATACTTATTTCATGTTTTATTGACTATTCTGCTGTGGACTGCACTGTGTCCTTCTCATCCCCAAAATTTCTATGTCGAAGACCTAATCTTCAATGTGGTGGTATTTGGAGGTCACCTTTGGGCAGTGACAAGGTTCAATGAGATCATGAGGGAGGCCTTACAGGGGACTGATGTTCTCTGCTGTCTGCCAGCCAGGAGGAGGCCCTCGCCAGAACTCAACCATGCTGACATCCTGATCTTGGACTTCCAGCCTCCAGAGCTGTGAGAAAATAAATTTCTGTTGTTTAAGCCATCCAGCATGTGAAATTGTGTTACAGTAGCCTGAGCTAAGGCAAGAAATATTCCAATAAATATATTTCGTATTTATTCTAGGTAGCATCAGAGACCAGAAATAAGGCCAATGGGAATAATTTACAAAGAAGTTAAAGTTCAGTTCAATACGAGGGAAATTTTATTTTAAATTTTTTTTGAGGCAGCGTCTCACTCTGTCACCCAGGCTGGAGTGCAGTGGCACAATCTTGGCTCACTGCAACCTCCCCCTTCTGGGTTCCAGCAATTCTCCCACCTCAGCCTCCCCAGTAGTTGGGATTACAGGTGTGCGCCACCACGCCTGGCTAATTTTTGTATTTCTAGTAGAGACGAGGTTTCACCATGTTGAGCAGGCTGGTCTCGAACTTCTGACCTCAAGTGATCCACCTGCCTCGGCTTCCCAAAGTGCTGGGATTACAGTCGTGAGCCACCGTGCCCAGCACTAGGGAGATGTTTTAAAAAGGGACTCAAGGTGTATCCTGGGTCCAGGCTGAGCCCTGGTAGCTTGGATGTGTGTAACCCTAAACTGGAGGCTCCCTCCTCTCCCCCCATAAAAGGATTTTGGTCTTGTGACGAAGGTTCACCTAGGAGGGCTGTAATGTTTCTTCCAATTCAGAATGTGTAATAATCTAGAGAGAAAAAGCAGCTAGAAAAATAAAACCACACAATGTGAGAAATAAGCACACTACGTAGAAAACCCCCTATTCAGAAGATGACTGGAATGTTATCTGAGTCCCTAAACCAGAAGCCGCTATGTGAGTGTAAGTGCTTGTTAATGTGTAATGCTACAGTTTTCAGTGTTATAGTTTTTATGGGATGTTCACATGATTTTATATTTAAAAAGCCCACAGCCAAATTTAAATAAGACTTATTTTACAGGGATCAATCTGTAATACTGTTATGAAAAAAACCGTAGGGAACAAACGAAAAAGACAAAGTATCCTACATAAAACAGTGTAATAAGGAGGAAAGTAGTTCTTACCTCGTGTCAAAGCAACAAGGCAGGGGCTAGGACAATAATCTCTAGGTCCTGTGTGATACACTGAGCCCGGCTAAAGGCAGATGACTAAAATAATAACACCAAGTATTTATCATGTTGTTTCAAGAATTGCTCACGGATTATCTCAGTTCTCACACAAAGCCTGTGAAATACCTACCATTTTTTAGCAAACTCATTTCACAGATGAAATGGAAACAGGACTATCCAGTAACACTCTGGCCCAGGAGAATCCAGTTAGCAGCGTGGATGTCTCCAAACCTAGTTTGTCTCCAAAATGCTCAGACCTGCCTATGTGCTGCACCTCCCACACAGTGAAGAACACAAAATCATACAGGGGCACGTAGAAGCTCTTCTTTGTGACCAGTAACTGTGAGCCCACCCATTCCAGTATCAATACTTATTAATACAATGAAGATGAAGTGACTTTCAAATCTGAAATACCCTTCTGATCATTGCTTTTTGCTACATTCTAAATATTTTCACCAAAAACCTTTCTGTAGAAGGACCCTCAGGTGAATTTGGAAATTGGTTTCACACTCCAGGAGAGCTGGTGCAGCTCACAGCAAACTGTGAGGAAGCCCCGGGCTTTCATGTGGGCCGGCCTCGGGGCAGGCTGTAGGGCTCCCGTGTGGTTTTCCTGCACCAAGCAAACAGATCTTTGGTTCAACCTTGTTAGTCCAGAGCTGACTGAAGGAGGAGATTGTTCACAAAAAGGTGAGGAAAAAATAAAACTGAAATGAGGCAAGACTTTAACATGAAAAGGAAAAGTGCCACTGGAAATTAAATCTAAAATGAATGTAAGGCAATTGCTTTAACAATTTGTCAACAGGCAGGACAATGAAGCGTAGACAGCCCTGCTTTGGAGAAATGACAATGGAGAAAATGAAAGAAAAATAGAAAGTAAGAGCGGAACGGGGCCAGCCCCTCTGAGGTTCACACCTCTATCTGCGGACCCAGTGCGTATAGTTTTACACTTTTTGCCGGTGCAGTTTCATGGTTTCTGTCTAAAACCATGCAGCAGCACAAGGCTGTGGCTTCTGTCACTGATGTGATTGAAGTTAATGTGACTTCAGCCGCTGTCATGAGGTGCTGGATGAAATTTAACCAATAAGCCTTGGATCTGCGGAATTACTTGAACTTCAAAAAGTCCTGGAGAGAATGCCCTTGAGCTGCGGAAGCCAATGCCCTTGAGATGCGGAAGCCGGCTTGGCTTTCGTGGACTGTGAGCAACTTGGCCAGGGCAGCATGGGTCCCACAGGAGTGGCCACGTTTCACCTTCCAGAAACGCATGCATTTCAGTGGCACTGCCAGCGGAAACACGAGATTTGGTTGGGCACAAAAAACTAAACACCTGTCCACTGTGGAAATGACTCCTTCAAAGTCAAATTTTGGGCTCTTTGTTGAACTATATTGGGAGGGCACTTTTGATCACTCTCTAAATACTTATGATTATCTTATTGATACTTCTGTATTGCCAAATAAGGTGTAGGCATGGATCTGCCTTTCCCAGACAGAAGGGTCCTGCTCTTACCTGTTGGGAACTGCTCTGAAAGTCTGGGAGGAGATTGCTGGTATTTTTGCTGTAAAGTGAAGCTTTGCGCTTTCTGCAAGGTGGGTGCAGTTGCGGTCATAGCAGCACCTCTGTGTCTTGGTCTCCACTCACCTGTCTTCGTGGAGAGCACGTGGCCTCACACACAGAGAGACGACACATGGATAATTAGGTACACAGATGTGCTAGTTTGAGAAAATTGGAGGTTTCTTAAGTGTTTTGGGCCATATTATTCACCATAATCAGGGACAATAATCTATCGGTCCTGTGTGATACACTGATCCAGGGTCAGCAGAAGCCCCTGAAACTTGCTAGAAGTGCACATTTCCAGGCCCACCCCAGACCTACTGAACCAGAAACTCCGGGGTTGGGGCCCAGCAGTCTGCTTTTTAACAAGCTCTCAGGGTTATTCCGACGCAGCCTGAAGTTTGAGCACCTTTGCCCTACAGGCACTAGCTCAGCTCAGGGGGTTAAATATCAGGATTTAATTAATTGCTAGGAGTTCCTCCTTTAGGTCTGCTAATAGTAGGCTGTCTGACTTTAAATAATTCACTTGAGGGCTTGTTTCCAAAAGCAGACGGCAGAGCACACCTGCCAGTCAGCTGCGGGGGGACTGGCTTTGAGATGCTTGTTCACAAGTGGAAAACGGTTTGACCTGTCCAGGCACCTAGTGAGCAATGGCCACTGAAAAATTCATCTGAAATTAAGCTGCTCTACTCTGCACTAGGGCTGACCCTGGCTACCTCAGCACCAAATCTAAGCCTGTGGGTTATGAGGTGAAACTGCTCAGGAGCACCTCTTATGGACCCAGTGTGGGGAGGATGAGGGAGGAGACTCATCTTCACGGGTGTGTGAATCACCCTCTTAACTCTTCTGTGTAATACAGGCCCCTGGACTCCTGAATCCTCCATAGGTCTTTTCGGTCTTAAATTCCTTTATTAATAACAACAGTGGCTAATGTTTGGAGGACACTTGGACACCTTGAGGAGGACTTCCGTGGCCTTCTCTGAAGATGCTGTGCTCTACTCCCAATCAGCTGAGACCCATCTTCTTAATCTTTGCAGTGTGTGCTTCAGAACTGGCACCAGACAGGCGCTGCATGAACACTGCTGCAAGAGAGCAAAGGAGAGTGAGGAGAAGAGAAAGAGAAAGGCGGGCAGAAGGGGAGGAAAAAAGGATTGGAAAGGAAAATAAAGCACTTAAACATTTTTTTTCCTTTTTTTGAGACGGAGTCTCACTCTGTTGCCCAGGCTGGAGTGCAGTGGCACAGTCTTGGCTACCTGCAACCTCCATCTCCTGGGCTCAAGCCATTCTCCTGCCTCAGCCTCCTGAGTAGCTGGGATTACAGATGCCCGCCACCACACCCAGCTAATTTTTGTATTTTTAGTAGAGAAGGGGTTTCGCCGTGTCGGCCAGGCTGGTCTCGAACTCCAGACCTCAAGTGATCCGCCCGCCTCAGCCTCCTAAAGTGCTGGGATTACAGGCGTGAGCCACAGCGCCCAGCTAAAAATCATTTTATAAATCATAGAAGAGAAGAAGTTTCTTAAAAGGGGGTTTGTGAGAGGCTCAGGGACCTCTGAGGGCGGTTTTGGGATGAACACAGCATGCTGGATAATTTTACAGACTTGCTCATGTGAAAGCCAGGGTTTGACTGCAGTTTTCCAACTCTTCAAACAGACAAACTCTTTTCAGATATCGAGTGAGCAGAGTGTTGCTGGGCACGTAGGGGGCGCTCAATAAAGATTCCTTGAATGAATGATGGATTCGGGATGAATGACCGATGCTCCCCAGAGAGGCAGGTGGAGTTGCCTGGAAGTGTGCACTGTGGGTCTGGGGCCCCAGAGTTTGACCAAGAGATGTGAGGAGGGGGCAGCAGGGGCTTGCTGGGAGAAGTCTCTCTTCTTCTGACAGCTCCCTCTGACTTGAGCAAACCTGGCCACCTGCCTAAGTAGGAGCAGGGGCCATCCCAGCAGGAGAGCCCAGGACAGTCAGAAATGGGTCTGGCTTTTGGTAGCTGTTCACAGATTGAAGTTCCCAACACACCCACCTAAGGGCCCCTCCCTTCTCGTGCTGAGGCTTCTCTGTGGGCAGAAGGGGCAAGCCCATAGAAATTGTCTCTTGAGCATGGGAGGAAGAAACTGAACCCACTGCCAGTTTTGTAAAAAGAAACAGACCAGTATTCATTTCCAAGAGACTGCTGGATGACTCTGGAAGCATCGCGAAGAGTGGCCTTTCCTTTCTGCCGTGGGAAGCCTCCTTCCTGCCTGCCCTAGGATCTCAGGCCCTGTGCATGGTGCTGTAAGGAATTCCTAATTACCTGTGAGCTCTCAGGTGACAGGTGACACCTCACAGCTCTCAAGAGAACAAGTTGCCTCCTGACTCTGAGGGCTGTGCACCTGCTGACGGTGGGGTCTGAGCCACATTTGTGCCGCTTCTTTCGAGGAAGTTAAGTTGAGCTGTCAAATTGTAAGGCCGGCTTAGTCCGTGGCTCGTCTTTTTTTAATCAGGCCATCTGTCAGCAACTCATGTGGGCCCTCCTTGCAGAGACACGCAGGGAAAGCCATCGATAGGCTCTGCACATTTATTTACGTACATGAACCACACTGCCATACCTGTCTGCACCTCTCTCCCACTCTCCTCCCACTTCTCACCACATCTATGCCTACCCAGGCCCAGGCCAGGCTTGCCTTTTGTCGAATTCACTGTCTCTGCCGCCCCTTCTCCCCAGCACACACCAAGTAGTCTTGTCCTAGGACAAGGGCTGGAGCAATTGCGGGCTTCAGTTGTCTCCTGCTGTGTAACAGCAGGCCCGGAAGCCTGGTGGCGACAAACAGCGCTGTGTATTGAAGGGGTGGCTGGGGCTCAAGGGGAGGGTCTTTTCTCCCAGGGCTCGATCACGGGGCCTCACTCTGCTGTGAGCTGGGTGGACTCCACTATGTCAAAATGGCTTCAGAGGGCCTCTCGCCGCTTCCCTCCCTCCCTCCCCGCCCTTTCACCTTCCTCCCTTTCTCTTTCTCTCTCTCTCCCACTCTCCACCTCCCCACTCTGTCTCTCTCTTTCAGTCTGTGCATCTCCCTCTCTTTCCCTCTATCTTTCTCCGTCTTCCCCTGTCTCTAATCATCTGTCGGTCTGTCCCTCCCCATCCCTCTCTGACTTTCTTCAGTAACAAGGCCCTTAATTTGGAGGGAGGATTCCTTCATTTTTCCTATGGACGGGATATCTACAAATGTTTTCAGTAAGGATGGAAGGAAAAAACAAGCTATGGTAACACTGGGTCTAGGATGCTAGGAATAAGAATTTCTGCCTGCTTTGGAAACGTCCAGCCCATGGTAGGAATGTGAGAATGCTCTCCATTTTCTGGCCCCCTATGACCCACGATCCAGCAACCCACGAATCGGCCCAGACCTCACATGCACCATGTTGGCTTCCTCCAGCGTCGCAGCTATGAAGAAAGTGGTTCAACAGCTCAGGCTGGAGGCTGAACTCAACCGTGTTAAAGTTTCCCAGGCAGCTGCAGACTTTAAACAATTGTCTGCAGAATGCTCAACATGACCCTCTACTGACTGGAATATCTTCAAATACAAATCCTTTCAGACCCAGAAATTCTATTCCTTTTTGTAGTAAAATGAATCTTTCAAAAGTTTCCCAAACTTTTTTTTTTAATTGTACATTTGTGTACAATTAACTTACACCACGTAATTAGCCTCTGTGATACTGAGGTTGTGTATGGGAATGTCTTTTCTCTATGAAGATGAAACTGTTTGTGTGTTATTGGTGTCTTATGATCGAGCGAATATTCAAAAGAGAGCTAAATTTGAAGCCTGTACAAAAGCTGACCCCGTAACACATGTTCCATAATATACAAACTTCTCTTTTCGTCAGTCCTTAACACCTACCTCTCTGAATTTCCATGAATTTCTATTTCACAAGGGTAATTGTTTTATATACACTGGCAGCAGCATACAATAAAACTTAGTCTAAAAAAAAAGAAATGGTAGGAAGATTCTTATATCTGGCCATTCTTCACTTCTTTTCATTTTTCACATCTTTTAAATTTTCATTTTTATTTATTTTTCACAGTTTTGAAGCCTTTAGAGTTTAGCAGTGAAGTTTCGGTCATTCAACTCAATTACACCACGCATTTGTTTTTGGTGGATGGTTAATGCTGAAATCTTCATTTTCCTTAAATGTAAGTGAAAATAATATGTTATTAATCTATTGGGAATCAGAACCTTTTGAACTTCAAAAATGAAAAGACAAAACAATTACAGTTATATTAAATATAACTAATTTGACTTTGCCTAGTTTTGAATGAAACTGAAATTACACATATTGGTTCAACTTTTCTAATACCTTTCTAATCTATTGACAGCCTGTCCCTCCCTATTTTGACAAGTCAGCTGGTCTGAAAGCATACCTAGATACTCAGAAGCAATAAATAATATGGTTTTTGTTTAATTAGTGCTGTTTTACAAATATTGTCAATCACTAATATCCATGTACAAGGAAATTTTCAAGAACCTAAGATAACTTCTCTAAAATTGGTACAAAATAACAGCACCTTTTGGGTAACTATTTTTTGTAGGCATTTGTTATATGCTGAGACTCTAGATAGATACACAGACTATATTTATTCAATTGGCAAAAAGTTGTATCAGTTACTAAATACATATGTGAAAATACATTTTTAATTCCAGACATGTTGAAATGCATAATAATACCTCCAAATAAGAGGTGTTTTATTTTTGTGAATTGCAATGAGGTGCATCCCAGCCAGGATCTGGAAGCTCCCCTATCCTCAGAATGGAGCATTTGATCTTGTTTACACGCCCAGGGGTCCTGCCCAGAACCAATCTTCTGTCTGCCTCAATCAAGAAGAACCTTCGCAGCCACATCTCAGGGGCAGGGACATAGACTCTGCACTGTGGCTTTGAATTCCTAGGGGTATTTATCAACTCGATGATTAAACTGGGACTGAATGTGGTGAAACATAGCTTTCTTTCCTAAGATGTTAATTGTACGTTTGTGTGCAATTAACTTACACCACGTAATTAGCCTCTGTGATACTGAGGTTGTGTATGGAAATGTCTTTTCTCTATGAAGATGAAACTTCTTGTGTATTATTTGTGTCTTCCCTATTAGGAGGGGATATTGTTCTATATGTGAGAGTGTTATTCACACATCACCCGTCCACCCATCCTCCCATCCATCCATCCATTAAAAAACATTCATTTGTGTTTTTACAACAGACACCTAAAGAGATTCTGTGAGAGAGAAACAGATAAGCCAGCTTCTCAAGTGACTAAATTTTGGTAATTTTTAAGCGTCTATTATATGAAAACTTGATTTGAATTTCAGAAGGAGCAGCGGATCAGTTTTTAAATGTGATAATGTGCGTGCATTTGATTTCACTGTTTTTCAACAAAACATTCCGATATGAGAAAGTATCTAAGGAATCAGAAATAAGAGCTAATGAGAACATTTCCATGAAAATACATTCTGTCTGTTTATTTCCTCTCTGGTTGACTACCAGCAATTCTCTGTTTCTATTTTCCTTCATTTCACTGTAGGTGTCCTTCAACATGTGCTAACACTCTTCACTAAATGTACAATAAAGGTTAGAACTATTTCTGCAAAGATGTCCTGCAAGGTAAACAATGCAGCACTCTTTCAGGAGCTCCTACAATTGGACCTTTAAAGAAATTTGTGTAGCCACAAGGTCCCTGAGGGTTTAGGCAAACCCCTGAGAAGAGAGAGGAGAGAGGTGGCCCTCTTCATATTTTCCTTGTGATTTCAGCAGGCGGATCATCAGTTGTTTATAGCTTCCTCTCTTTTTCATTCTATTTTAAAAAGGTGGAAAAGGTCTGATTGGCGTAAAAGATAGACAGAGGTGAGGTTTTCATGAAAAATAGGATTCCCTGGGGAGAGGACAGAACATCATCCCTTTCAGTATGCAGTGACCACATTTCAAGCAAGTTTCTTCTGTCCCTGGAGCTTAAGGGCGTAGATTCCTGGGTGCTTAGACCATAAACAGCCTTCAAGGCACTTAAAAAATCTGCATTTTGTGGGTGTTGGCAAAATGCACTCTTCTCTGGCTTTCTCATCCGCCATCTGTTCTTTGTGTCTGAGCTTCCCTTTGAACATTTGCCTTGGCTTGTAAATACTTCGAGTTACTTCACTTCGGGTTTCAAGTGGATTCCATTTTGCCAAATGCACTTGCGGTTGGTTAGGCAATTCCTAAGACATTTTCATTTCTGTTAACCAGACTTGGCTTTTCTAGGTAAAACACCAAAATGCAGATTTTGTTTTTGTTTTTGAGACAAGAGTCTCACTCTGTCGCCCAGGCTGGAGTGCAGTGGCACCATCTCGACTCACTGCGACCTCTGCCTCCCGGGTTCAAGCGATTCTTCTGCCTCAGCCTCCTGAGTAGCCAAAATGCAGATTTTAGGGAGCTTAAGACTCCCCCAGGACCTGGCGATTCTGATGACTACAAGAGCAGAGGCCACCTTTTCTGTCTCCTTTTGTGATCTCCTCCAAGCCACGCTGCTCTTAGCTCCTACTCTCAAATCTCAGAGAGCCCATGAGAGCCACGTTGGGCCTCCCCTCGCGGAGAGAAGGGCTCTTAAGTGGCCTCCAACCCTGCTTTCCTCCTTCACCTCCTCAGGGTCGAGCCAAGGCGCAGGACCTTGAGGGGTGTCTCCGGTCCCTACCCAGCATTTTCAGGGCCGGCTGCCCTGGGTGCTGGTACCTGAGAAAATTCATTGTTTCAGGGTCTGTGTTTGGAGAAACCCCCGACCCTAGGCTGGCTTGGGCTGCTTGAAGGGACCCCCCTCATGTGCTCCGTCAGTGATGGGGACCCCAGGGTCTCACCGTCCCTGTGGAATCCCCGCCTACGCATTTCCTCCAGGAGTCTTCCCCCAGGGATGGAGGGCCTCATGAGGGTTTTGCCACAACTGTGACTTCCAAAAACAAACTTGCTAAGTCCCTTTGTGACGAGGAAGGAACACGATTTCCTTATTGTGTAAGACAAGCAGAAGTAAGTCTACAATGGTGCTGAGCTGCAGTTAGAAACACGGCGTTCGCCCCTCCTCAGGTGACCTGGCAACTGTCTCTGTGCCGGAGCCCCAGCTTCTCATTTCCAGGCCGCACAGCCTCGTCCCCCTTAGCTGTCTTTCCTTGTTCTCTCTGCCCTGCCATAGCAGCCCCCTCGCACCTCGGAGCCCTGGGCGTGCTTCCAGCCCAGGGCCTTTGCACCTGCGCCCCTTATCTGGAACCCCTTCCCCAGATGCCCCCCGCTAACCTCTCAATTCCTGGGGTCTTTGCAGAAAAGGCTCAGACTGCGTGGCACCTGCAGCTCATCCATGCCACCTCCACACTCTCCCCAGCCTGCAGTGCCTTCTGCTGCCTCACTTTCCTTTCTTAGCACTTATCACCATCTAACGTAATTCACATTTTATTTATTTATCTTCTTTAGTGTTTATTTCTACTTGTATATCCCCAGTCTAGACTAGGTCCTGGCATTTAAGAAACATTTGATGAAGTAATGAAAAGATTAGGGGGTTTTCTAGGGAATCTTAATTTCCTTGGCAATGCTTTTCATTTTATTTTATTACATGCAGTTTCTGAATGACGAAGGTGACCTCACCTTGTTGTCATCTTCAGAATCATGAGCATAAGATAAATTAAGGCTGTTTAAAGACATAGTCAAACCTAGCGTTCAAGACCTTCTGTCCTGTGGCCATGGAACAACTCTCCCAGCTCCGCTGCGGCGGCTGGTGGGCAGGGGGTGGGGGGGGGGCAGTTCCTCCAACCACCCCTAGGAGTTCCTGCATTTCCCACTCAGTCTCTGCCTCTACTGTCCCCATTCCCATCTCTACCTGCCTAGGTCTCCCCTTCAGCCGCTCTGACCCCACTTCTTCCACACACCCTCCCGGGTGGATCCAGTGGTGAAATCCTTGCTCTTCTCTGAAGTTCCCTCAGACACAACTGAGTCTTTGAACAGGACATGAGCACTGGCTCGGTGGACTTCACCGTTCTCCTTCCACAGCCACCCAGGCTGGCCGTCTGCAGCCAGGCACGCGCCCCTGGGCTCAGCCTGGCAGCTGGGACTCCTCTGTCCCAAGCACCCGTACTTCTTATGGTTGGCCAGGTGAAAGCCCCTCTCACCTCGTCAATCCACATTATTTTACGTTCGTTCAGCTTTCCCTAAGCAGCGTCCTCCCTCTTTCTACCCACACACACTCTTCATCGTCAGCCCTGATCATCAGCTTCTAGATTTAAAACTTCTCAGGGACGAGGATTCTTCAGACTGGATCCCACTCCCGAGATGCGTCACGGTGATGATCACTTGGGTGGAAAGGGGGTTACTGGGACCCCCACCGCTGGTTCCAATGCATGCATTGATCAGCTCCAAGGAGGGAGACGATCTCCTCCCCAACCCCAGTCTGATGCTTTTGTTCACATGACATGTTTTCTGAGCACAGCTCATGCCCAAAGTAGGAGGATGTGGTCACCCTACTGTGCTGGAAACAGGACAAGTTTTCTGACTGTGGTCATTGCATCCGAAAGAGAATGCTCAGTACAGCACCATCTACAGGCGTATTTGTGAGAACGTGTGACTTTCAAAGATAATCGCTGAAAGTTCACTTCCTTTTCATTTTATTTTTTTGTGGGGGAGGGATGTGTCGGGTTAAAAGGTCCATTTCAAGGCCGGGCGCGGTGGCTCACGCCTGTAATCCCAGCACTTTGGGAGGCCGAGGCGGGCGGATCACGAGGTCAGGAGATCGAGACCATCCTGGCTAACACGGTGAAACCCGGTCTCTACTAAAAATACAAAAAAATTAGCTGGGCCTGGTGGCGGGGGCCTGTAGTCCCAGCTACTCAGGAGGCTGAGGCAGGAGAATGGCGTGAACCCGGGAGGCGGAGCTTGCAGTGAGCCGAGACAGCGCCACTGCACTCCAGCCTGGGCGACAGCGAGACCCCGTCTAAAAAAAAAAAAAAAAGGTCCATTTCAGGAAACCTTTTTCCTTTGCCATGAAGAACATTTTGGTGACTTGAGAGAAATGACTTACCTCTCTACGTAATACACTTTTCGTGAGCAATATTAGAACCAATTTATGGGTATTAAAATGGAAGGAATAAAGGCTATATAATGAAGGAAAAACAGGTACCTATTACCATGTCTCAAACTGGTGGGCTCTATGTGTCGAATACTTTATTTTCTTTTGAGAATACTGATTAGGTTATGTATTTTCAACATGGAGAGTGTTTTCACTTACCTTGTGTTTTCGTTTCATCAGTGGCCCTCATACAAGACAGTGAGTGGCTTTAGGCTAGAAATAGATCTTTTTATCTCTCCCTTCCGAAGGCCTGCACAGTCCTAGGCTGAGTTCATAGGAATGAAATAAATATCTAAAGTACAATGGGTGAATGAATGAATGAAGTCCTAACCACCAAACTGGGCTATGAGAACGGCATGTGATAATACGTGGGGCAACGTCTTATAAATGTAAAGTTGTTACTATTATTATTATTATTATTTGAAATGGAGTCTCGCTCTGTCGCCCAGGCTGGAGTGCAGTGGTGCGATCTCGGCTCACTATAACCTCTGCCTCCTGGATTCAAGTGATTCTTCTGCCTCAGCTTCCTGAGAAGCTGGGATTACAGGCATGCACCACCATGCTCAGCTAATTTTTGTATTTTTAGTAGAAATGGGGTTTCACCATGTTGGTCAAGCTGGTCTCGAACTCCTGACCTCATGATCCCCCTGCCTTGGTCCCCCAAAGTGCTGGGATTACAGGTGTGAGTCACTGCGCCTGGTCAGCTGTTACTATTATTAATGACACTGTGGGACCTCTCTGTGGGAACTGCAGATTTATTACTGCATTTCTCAGAGAGGTTAGTGACTGCTCAGACACATTCTCGCTCATTGTGAATGGTCAAAATATTGATTCGATTCAATCAAGACATGAATAGAGAAGTAGGAAAAAATATACTTTTTAAAGCTTATTTACTGCTTACAGGATATTCACAATTATGCCTCAAAGCACTTTACTTTCTTAGCTTTATTGGAAAATATTTAAACTGTGACATGCAATATTTTCAAGTAATTCTGAGTCAGCCAAATGTTGAGTTTTTATCCTGGTTCTCTCAATTATTTGTTGCAAACCTCAGGTAAGTCTATTTCTCCACGTTTCAGTTTTCTCATCCTTAAAATGGGAGCAATAATTCCCACCCCACAGGGTTACTGAAGAGTTCAGCGAATCAAATTAAGTTATATAAAGCTCCTCTCACAAACTTACCACTCATTAAATAGGGTCGCTTCCTTTCTTATATCTTCAAATTATTTCATTTAAAAAAATGATAGCGATGTTAAGTTTGGAATTTCTGGTAGGAATATGAAGTAAAGAAGTGAAAATAATAGAGAACATGACACTGTGTCTCTTCTTATAATTTTGTCGTTCTTCAGAATAAACGCAGTATTCAGATGACACAGCCACTTTCTGTGAGCATTTCACAATTTGAAAAACAGCTTTACATCCCCTGGATCCCGGCACAGTTTTATTCTTTCCTATGGGAGAGGGATGCGAGCTTGGTTGGTGAGCCACAGAGGGATGCCGTCAAGTCAGATCTCATGCAGGGCTTCAGCATCTCAGCGTCTCCTTCCTGGAGTGGCTCGAAGCCCAGCCTCCACGGACAGAAAGCTCTTGCTGAGAGGGAGTTCAGCTGCTTGGCCCGTCAAGGTAGAAGGCACCATTCTCACTTAAGCCTTTTTATTTTAAGTGAAAGAAAGTTACATTCACGCGCCTCAATATTTCTTTTTCCCAAATGGGTTGGAACACTGAAGGAAACCTGTAAACCTCCTTTGTCCTCAAATCCTCCACTCATCTTCTGTGAACCATATCTATTTTGAAGCATGTCTGCCCCGGAACTTTGCAACTGGGCAGAATCCACTGGGCTATAGGAATTTGTCTTCCTAAGTTCTATGCCGAGGGATTGGAAGACATATACTTTGGAAAATGTATAGTTGTAGCTGACAAAATTGCCTGCAATTATGCAGATTTAGAAACAACATGGGTTGTTGTTGCTGTTGTATAACTTTGGTTGGGGGTTTTACGTGCAGTTGCCTAACTGTAGCAGGAAAAATGCACTTAGTCAGATCCTACTGGTCGTGGAGGTAAGTTGTAATATACATCTCCTGCCTGTCTCTGTTGGATCCAGCCAGCTGGGAGATGAGGCTGCGGCCCTGTGTAGTACAAATGGCATTAATGACCTCAAATGGGCACAAGCCAAATGGAGTCATTGGTTTTAGGAACTAACTGTATCCTCTACTTAGATCAAGGATCAAACTTTTATTTTGCCTAGTTCCAAGAAAACATGCTTTTGTTATGTTTACATTGAGCAAACATATAATCAATCCATAAAATGAGGAAAATACAAAATAAATTTTCTGGTGTGATTTTCTTTTTTCAGATTCTCTTATATGCATTAAATAAATCCAGGTTGATTTGTTTTGCCTGAATTTCTCATGATGTATACATTTCCATTCATTCTAAATATGCTTAAAAGTAATGTAGGATGTATGAAGTAAAAATTCTGAAAATTCCAATTTCAGCATATGAGTAGTTTACTGTATCCAAATAAATGATCAAAAGACGAGCATGTAGATTGATCTGTGGACATCAAAGTGGCTGCATTGTTTATTCCTTGTAGAAATTGACATAATATGAAATTTTGCTTAACCATATATTTTATTAGAGTGCACAGGCTTAATTTTATGGTCTAGGATTACAATTTTGCTGATTAAAGCCCTGTCTTCAATTACACCAGAAAACTAGTCTTGTCTCCAAATGAAACAATCGTAATGACTTGACTGCAATTAGAAACCACGATCCTTAAGAATGTGGATGACCCAATATATGTTATTTTAACCGTGTAAAAATATTTGGGTAGGAAGAGGTTAGCATTGGAAAGTGGTCACAGAGAGGTTTCAGAAATCAATAGAGTTTGAATACTGTTGAAATGTGTAATATACCGATTTCTTCATTAAGAAATACACTCCATAATAAATACTAAGCCAGGAATTCTGAAATAAGTTTAAAATTAATTTAAATTAAATAGAGAAGCCCAAAATATCTGACACTCTGCAAACTTGGAGAATAAGAAGAGAAGAATGTGCTGAAGTGTGGCTTTGTTCTAGATGTTCTTATAATCTAGGCAAACATTTCCTGGAAAGGGCTAGAGAGCCATCATTACAGACTTTGAAGGCCACATTCAGTTTCTGTTGTTGATCCTCTTCTTTCTTTCCTTTTTTAACAACTTAAAAAATATAAAAAGTCACAGATTTGGCCACTAGAATGTAGTTTTCAGACCTCTAATCTTTGTGGATATTAGCTTTGTGATTCTCTTTACTGGACTTAAATTATGGGAAAATAAATTGAAACAACTCATGTGTCTTTTAAACTACATTGTGTTTAAAATGTCTTCTGTTTAAACTACACTCTATTTTATGTTTAATCCTTATGTGTCACAATCCTAGCCAATGCCTGACATATGGTAGATTCTCAGAAAATGTTTACCAAATGATAACATTTTAAAGTTTCATCCTTTTTTTTTTTTTTTTTTTTTGAGATGGAGTTTCACTCTGTCACCCAGGCTGGAGTGCAGTGGCACAATCTCGGCTCACTGCAACCTCCACCCTCCGGGTTCAAATGATTCTCCTTCCTCAGCCTCCTGAGTAGCTGGTACTACAGGCGCCTGCCACCGCACCCAGCTAATTTTTTTTGTATTTTTAGTAGAGATGGGGTTTCACCATCTTGGCCAGGCTGATCTTGAACTCCTGACCTCGTGATCCGCCCGCCTCGGCCTCCCAAAGTGCTGGGATTACAGGCGTGAGCCACGACGTCCGGCCTTAAAGTTTCTTCTAATTCTACAGTATTGAAAGGGTTATTTCAATTCCGAATGGTGGTGGTGGTGTGTGTGTGTGTGTGTGTGTGTGTGTGTGTGTGTGTGTTTTCTTTTTTCTTTTTTTTTTTTTTTGAGACGGAGTCTCGCTCTGTCGCCCAGGCCAACTGCAGTGGTGCTATCTCGGCTCACTGCAAGCTCCGCCTCCCGGGTTCACCCCATTCTCCTGCCTCAGCCTCCCGAGTAGCTGGGACTACAGGCGCCCGCCACCACGCCCGGCTAATTTTTTTTTGTATTTTCAGTAGAGACGAGGTTTCACCGTGTTAGCCAGGATGGTCTCGATCTCCTGACCTAGTGATCCGCCCTCGTCGGCCTCCCGAAGTGCTGGGATTATAGGCGTGAGCCACCGCGCCCGGCCGTGTTTTCTATCAATCTTAATAGAAATGTTCTCAGGGGTCACTAAACCCCAACCCCCATCAGTTTTCCGCAGATTTTAAAGTATGGAACCCGATAGAAACAATTATCGAAATTATGACCTCGATAAGCAGTGTTATGTATCATGCAAACATTATAGTAAAGAGCGAAAATAATTGAAGGGTATAAAATAAATTATTGGCTGCTGATTTTTAAAATGTATTTAAGTCCATTTTGTGTTTATTTGTTGGGCATCTCCATTATAAAGTAATACCCTTGAGGGAAAAAACAAAACAAAACAGGACTTTTAATAATTCCTTCATGTTTTTTTCCTTCACTGCCCTCACTCCTACCTCCCCTCCTGCCCCAATGCCGTGAAGCACCCACTACTTGGCACACAGTGGGGCTTCATTAATGTTGCAGGCCTGATTCTCTTGCTCTTCAGACCTGGATGGTCCTTTCCCTCTTCCCTCTTTCTGTCTTTTGCAAAAGGCCACTTCCGCTTGCTTTTCCATTTCTTTAAAGAAGTGTGCGTATTTCTCAATGAGTGTAATTAAAAAAAGACATTTTTAAGATTGCTTTAAGTAAATTGATTTTCTGTTTTTTCCCTTCTAAAATACTGGCACAAAACAAGAAGCCATAATGAGCTGTGATTTGCAACTTTTCATTGCAATCGACTAAGAGGCATTCTATAACTACTGATTTGTTCTATCGCGTGAAGAAAAGAAAAAGGGCAAATGTATCGCATTCTTACTATTAAATGCCAATAGATATCTGACATCTTTGAAAACAAGTCTGATTTTGTATTTCTTTCTCCCAGTTTGAGGAGGAAAAGAACCCGGACTTGTAGATTGTAGAGGTGTTTTGTTCTAGTACTTGCTGCTGTTTAAGGCTTATAAAACAAACAACAAAACACCAAAAACGTGGATTACCAAGTGTCTGGGTTACTTTGGCTTCTCCGCGGTCCTCCTTTGGGGGCCCAAGTCTTGGTGGACTTGTGCTGCAGAGGCCTCAGCTCCCTCAGCAACTGGGTGGGCAGCTACCCCAACGCCCTGGCTGTGGAAAGGGAGGACCCCACAGGGAAGCCCCCACAAGCCTCCCTCCCCCCACCCACACAGCATGGGATGTCAGGGAGACCCTGAAGGGCGTCCTGCCCGCCCCGCCCACACCTGCTCCGGTTCCCGCTGCAGTTTTATGGGCCGTGAGGAGGCAGGTTTGACGCCCAGAACAGCCTCTGCCAACAGCTGCAGACCCGTCAGCTCCCAGACAGTAAAATGTAAAGAGGGGGAGGGAGGGATCACCTTTGAAGTCTGCAAAAAGCATGACTTTGACCACTTCCTTTTTCCTTTTTAAATTGGTGTCCCAGGTATGTTGACAGCAGCTATGGGCCAGCTTTACAAGGAAAGACGCACCTCCTCGGAACACTCAGGTCTGCCGGATTCTCAGCATTTTAATACCAACTCTCCAAGGCTTTCCTGGTTTCAGCGTAACTTTGTGAAGAGAAATGGGTTATTTTAACTGAGGGTGCTACACTTAAGGCCAATACAGATGTGTATCTGTAAATAACACACATACGCAGAGTGCTCTCCATTCAAGTTGAAGGTGAAACTGTACAAAGCCACCACCTCGTGTCCTTCCTGCATCTTCCCCACACATTTTCTCCTTAAATTTTCTTGCTTTTCTCTTAAAGAAATGATAAGGACGTGAAGGGAAGCTGTGGTGTTAACATTTTCCTCTCAATTTCACATCCGAATTTTAATCTCCAATGAATGCTTTTTCTTTCCACTTGGCTTTCAGGGTTTTTCTCTTTTAGTTTAAAAGAAGACTCCAAGATTTTTAGTTATTCTGCCACTTTCACATAGTTTAGCACGAAATGTCCTGGAGGATTGTGTGTGCACCTGATACTGTTCATTCTCCAGGAGATCTTGCTGGATTATGCGGTTTGAGTCTCCAGTTTGAACTATGCACGTGATCAAAGCATGAAAGATTTCCTTCAAACTACACAGCACAAACTACACTGTCCTTATACTTGACAGCTTTGTGATTTCCAAACTTATTTTAACAATGGTCTTGATTTTCTGTTTAATGAAATATAGACAATATAGATCAAATTTAAAATCTCTAATGTCCATTCTAAAATGGGAACTCAGAGCATTCTGAAAGGCCATTTCCAGGCCAGCATAAAGTTGAGAAAGAATCTTATAATCGTCTCTTCAAACGTATTAAAAGAAGCATAAATACTTTATATCTTTCCTTGTAGGGTACAAATTAACCCCAGTAACCAACCCACAGATCCTCATGATATCATTATTGGAGTGTTTGATGGTCTCTGACTACTTAGTAGTAAAATTAACCAATCATCTAACTGCCTGGGACCCGGTTTTCCCACTTGGAAAACAAGGCAATTAGTCTAGATCCCTTCTGCCCAAGGCTGTGGCCACTAGTCACATGTGACTGTAAGTTTAAATTCAATACAGTTAGGTAAAATTAAATTTAATTCCTCAGTCGTACTAGCCACATTTCAAGTGCTCCATAGCCACGTGCAGCTAGTGGCCACTGCATTGGAGAGAGTGGGTAAAGAAAGTCTGGATTGCTGCAGGAATTCCTACTGAATGGCACCGGCAGGTAAAATATGGATTATCCTTCCTGACTGTAAAACAGAACACGGAGGGAACTCCAGGCTACTGGACTCTAGTCCCAAGTCATTCTTACGATACTCCTAACAATAGTTATTCATAGCAATAGCTATGAAAGACAGGGACATTCATTACTTAAATATGTAAGGAGCACTTGTGGTGTGAAAGCAGTTGTATGATAGGCTGGGAACAGTACAAGACATCGTGCCCGTGGGCTAGGTGCTTACAGCCTGACTGAGGAGGAGACTAGCAAACTCAGAACACAGGACCAGATAAGGAAAGAGCCATGCAGGGGATGCTGGGGATCCTAGCATGGGGTGGGGTGCAGGGATGGCCTCCCAATGGAATGCCGATTCTTGTGCCAGGTAAAACCTTATGGAAATTATTCTGTAAGAGCATAATGAGATGAAAATTTAGAACTAGAATTGCCGATACACCTGCCAATATACCCTTGTAACTGCAGAGTTGAAGAGTAAGGTATCTTCTAAAGGTTTTAAGGATGCAAGAAAACCCACAAAACTCTAATCAGCAGACCCAAACTCAATGGAAAAACCTTGGCTCTTCGTGAAAAACTTGTTGGATGAATGCATGATCATAGATTTAGCTTTAAACATGTTTACATGAAAGGCTTCCAGAATCAATCAATTTCTAATATTAACTGCCTACTAGCCAAGCCAGATGGCTCTATAAATTGTGCTGTTATAATTTGGACCATGAATCTATAGGTTCCCTCTACTTAATCAACCAAAATCGAAGAGTACTATTTAAGATGTGAAGTCCACATCTAGAAGAGCAACCAGGATGGATTTGCCCTATCAGATACTGTGGTACTGCCACGGAGATCATGTGAACCAAACAGAAAGCACAAAACAAGACCCAAATGGACTTGGGAATGTAGAGTGTGATCCAGAGGAGCTGGGAAAGAGCAGACCCCAAGTGGACTGCCTGCAGTAGATTCTATTACATGATTACTTCCACTACCCCACAACCCGGGCTGAGCAGAGATTGCTTCTCAAGCTTTTTCAGTTCTCTCATCTCCACTCAATTTGTTGGTGGTCTGTTAGGTGACTTACCTTTATCACTTTTTCCTAAAACAGCGTGGTGTTTTGGTTTATTTTTAAGGAATAACCCCCTTCCACAGTCATATTTTACCGGATTATATAAATATTGTATTACAATCTGAAATTACGATTACAAATATACTTGGCTTTAGCTGGGATCATCAGGGACGACCCCCAGTGAGTGTCAATTTGGAGGATGCTGAGCCACAGAGCCACATGCAAGGCACAGGTCCTGCAGCTTAGCCTGCCTGGGCACTTATCTGTCTATTTCAAGGGGAGTCCTGGGAGTCCTGAGGGCCAGTGTGGCTTAGGTGAGAAACACAGCCTGCAGAGCGAGAGGAGCCCCTGGGGGCTGGGAGGTGGTCAGGGAGCATAGTCCCCCTTACTGTTTCGGCATGTGCTCTGCAAGGCTCAGAGGACAAGGTTGGGGAGGATTAGACATGGTGCTATAAAGGGAATATCATGCAAGCTGTCACCTGGGAATGATCCCTTCCTTCACCCTCTCCTCACTCCCTGATCCACTCCTGCACTTGTTGCTAATCTCCCCAACAGCCAATAGCTTTGGGTGCTTGGGCATCTGTCCCTCCCCATCCTCACTAGGTGGGGGGCAGCCCTCATCCTTCACCATGCGGACCTCTCCTGGCCTCACTGCCTCCCTTCTTTGTCTTCTTATATTAGTTTTTTGTTAGGGTAATAATTTCTTCTTCTTCTTCTTCTTCTTCTTATACTTTAAGTTCTAGGGTACATATGCACAAAGGGCAGGTTTGTTACATATGTATACATGTGCCATGTTGGTGTGCTGCACCCATTAACTCTTCATTTACATCAGGTATATCTCCTAATGCTATCCCTCCCGCCTCCCCCACCCCATGACAGGCCCATGTGTGTGATGTTCCCCATCCTGTGTCCACGTGTTCTCATTGTTCAATTCCTACCTATGAGTGAGAAGATGCGGTGTTTGGTTTTCTGTCCTTGGGATAGTTTGCTCAGAATGATGGTTTCCAGCTTCATCCATGTCCCTACAAAGGACATGAACTCATCCTTTTTTGTGGCTGCATAGTATTCCATGTGAATATGTGCCACATTTTCTTAATCCAGTCTATCACTGATGGACATTTGGGTTGGTTCCAAGTCTTTGCTATTGTGAATAGTGCCACAGTAAACATATGTGTGCATGTGTCTTTACAGCAGCATGATTTATAATCCTTTGGGTATACACCCAGTAATGGGATGGCTGGGTCAAATGGTATTTCTAGTTCTAGATCCTTGAGGAATCATCACACTGTCTTCCACAATGGTTGAACTAGTTTACAGTCCTACCAACTGTGTAAAAGTGTTCCTATTTCTCCACATCCTCTCCAGCACCTGTCGTTTCCTGACTTTTTAATGATTGCCATTCTAACTGGTGTGAGACGGTATCTCACTGTGGTTTTGATTTGCATTTCTCCGATGACCAGTGATGATGAGCATTTTTTCATGTGTCTGTTGGCTGCATACATGTCTTCTTTTGAGAAGTGTCTGTTCATATACTTTGCCCACTTTTTGATGGGGTTGTTTGATTTTTTCTTGTAAATTTGTTTAAGTTCTTTGTAGATTCTGGATATTAGCCCTTTGTCAGGTGGGTAGATTGTAAAATTTTTCTCCCATTCTGTAGGTTGCCTATTCATTCTGATGGTACTTTCTTTTGCTGTGCAGAAGCTCTTTAGTTTAATTAGATTCCATTTGTCTATTTTGGCTTTCATTGCCATTGCTTTTGGTGTTTTAGTCATGAAGTCCTTGCCCATGCCTGTGTCCTGAATGGTATTGCCTAGGTTTTCTTCTAGAGTTTTTATGGTTTTAGGTCTAACATTTAAGTCTTTAATCCATCTTGAATTAATTTTTGTATAAGGTGTAAGGAAGGGATCCAGTTTCAGCTTTCTATATATGGCTAGCCAGTTTTCCCAGCACCATTTATTAAATAGGGAATCCTTTCCCCATTTCTTGTTTTTGTCAGGTTTGTCAAAGATCAGATGGTTGTAGATATGTGGCATTATTTCTGAGGGCTCTGTTCTGACCCATTGGTCTATATCTCTGTTTTGGTACCAGTACCATGCTGTTTTGGTTACTGTAGCCTTGTAGTACAGGTTGAAGCCAGGTAATGTGATGCCTCCAGCTTTGTTCTTTTGGCTTAGGGTTGTCTTGGCAATGCAGGCTCTTTTTTGGTTCCATATGAACTTTAAAGTAGTTTTTTCCAATTCTGTGAAGAAAGTCATTGGTAGCTTGATAGGGGTAGCACTGAATCTATAAATTACCTTGGGCAGTATGGCCATTTTCATGATGTTGATTCTTCCTATGCATGAGCATGGAATGTTCTTCCATTTGTTTGTGTGCTCTCTTATTTGGTTGAGCGGTGGTCTGTAGTTCTCCTTGAAGAGATCCTTCACATCCCTGGTAAGTTGGATTCCTAGGTATTTTATTCTCTCTTATTTGGTTGAGCGGTGGTCTGTAGTCCTCCTTGAAGAGCTCCTTCACATCTGTTAGGGTAATAGTTTCAAAGCACATCTATGCTCATGTCAGCGTCCTTCTCAAGACATTTTAGTGTCTTCCGAGTGCTCTGAAGATAAAGACCAGAACCCTGAGTGTGACCGACACGTCTACCCAGTGTGGTCTGCCTCTGCCGTGTCCCAGCTCTTATCTCAGGGGCCCTGCCCCCTCTCATAAAGAGACCCCTGCACCTCCTCCCCGCCCGGACTCTTCCCAGACTCCCTCCTCCGTCTTGCACCCAGCGAACCCCTCCGCATTGTGCAGAGGCTGGCTCAAGCCTTATACTCCTGGAGAAGCATTTTCTACCTCCTGATAAATGTTGAATCTCCCTTGTATTATAGGTTCTCAGGGATGAGGTAAGTCCCTTTCCCCTGTAGCACTTGCCCAGTTGTAGCTGCAGATGTATTTCTGTGGTCACTGGATCAACATCTGTCTCCCTGGTGGTGAATTGTGGGCTCTGCCAAGGTGGGAATCCTGCCTGGCAGTGCTCCCTACAGGCCCACGTGGCTGGCACAGTCTGAGAG
Source organism: Homo sapiens (assembly GCF_000001405.40). Lineage (NCBI taxonomy): Eukaryota > Metazoa > Chordata > Mammalia > Primates > Hominidae > Homo > Homo sapiens. The sequence continues at coordinate 3,270 of NT_187557.1, read as the reverse complement.
GAGGCTCAAGAAATAGTTTATGGAATGAATAAATGTGATCGAGCCATCTAACACACAGCCTGACACGTAAGACTGGCCATCAATGTGCATGTTTCCATATTTCTTTCCTTTTTCCTATTCTTTTCATTGATCAAATGGGATCACACTGTTTGTTGAGTGAAATTTTTCAGCTTTGGGCCAACGGCCTTTGATGTGGAAAGGAAATGCTGTGTCTTCCACCTTGAAAATGGTTTCTACACACGGAAGTGAGTAGATCTGAGAAAATATTCCAGCAGACACCAGATAGTGAGTTCTCTACACAGAAGGTTCAACATTCAGGATCTTCTAAATTGGTGGTGAGTCGACTGCTCTCCATAAGCCTTAATCCTTGGTAACAAAATGTCACAGCTTCAGATCATACCAAATTGCAGGGTATTTTTAATTATATTAGGCGTTTTTCTCCCCTGTGGAGAGCGTGCAGGAGAGCCAGGCTCTCTTTGATCCCTGGGGGTGGGGTGGGGGTGGGGGGGGTGTGTCCCTGCTGGAACAGCAGGAGGCACTGGGCTGGGGCTGCTCTCTTCACCCCTGCTCCTCCCCACTTATCTGTTGGTTTGTGGTTTGATTAAGGAAACCGACTTGAAAGGGCCAGGCACTGGGTCACCAAGTCAGCTGTGTCCACTAGGAGGAAAAACATACTTTAAAGAAACAAAATGTTTAAGTGATTCACTGGTTAATTTGAATCAGCAGTTACTATCAGAGCTGGGACTTTGTGCTGGTATGTTCCAGGGCTTTGCAAGCATTTTCTGAAAAACGCCGGATTGTATACATTTGAGGTTTGGCTGGGGTTGGGGGGTAGGGACATATCTTGCTGCTTCTTTATGGTCTCCCTGACCCTGACTCCCATCTGCCTTGTAGATGTCACTAGAACCTCTCGTAACTCATCACCTTTCCCCCGCAGCACCTTGCACACCACCAGGAGACGGATCTTCCTGTAACATTGCCTGACAGTCTACGCCCACTCAAAGGCCACCCGTTTCCTGTTGGGCAAGGTCAAGTCCTGGGATGGGACATTCACATTCGCCCTCTCTGCTCAGCCTTTCCAGCTGGCGGTCTCTTCCCCATCTTTGGACTAGGGCACTTGTATTTTAGGCTTTCATGATCTCTTCCCCCATCGCGTATCCTTTCCTTTTTCCCTCCTCAACTCTTCAAAGCATTTCTTCAAAGACCACCCAAAGTGTCCACCACCGTGTTCCGCCTTCCCTCAATCCCCGTAGGCCCTTCCTTTCTACTCCACACCACTCTAGTTGGCCTTTGCTGCAGTCGGCCTCCTGGTGCTTCGACCTGGTGCTTCATCTTCCTAGCCAGCTGCAAACTGCTACAGGACAGATGATTTGTGTTCTTTTTGTATCCCCCTCAAAACAGGCAGGTCCTGCTTTGGGAGGCTGAGGCAGGCAGATCACGAGGTCAGGAGATTGAGACCATCCTGGCTAACACGGTGAAACCCCGTCTCCACTAAAAATACAAAAATTAAGCTGGGCGTGGTGGCGGGCGCCTGTAATCCCAGCTACTCGGGAGGCTGAGGCAGGAGAATCGCTTGAGCCCGGGAGGTGGAGGTTGCAGTGAGCCGAGATCAAGCCACTGCACTCCAGCCTGGGAGACTCTGTCTCAAACAAACAAACAAACAAACAAAAAACAAAAAAACAAACAAAAAACAAAAAACAAACAAAACAAAAACCAAGCAGGTCCACCGAGACGCCTGTCCGACGGCACCTTATCTGCAGGTGTTTATCGTTGCAGGAGCTGTCTCATCTACAGGTGTTTATCGTTGCAGGAGCCGTCTCATCTGCAGGTGTTTATCCTTGCAGGAGCCGTCTCATCTGCAGGTGTTTATCGTTGCAGGAGCCGTCTCATCTGCAGCTGTTTATCGTTGCAGGAGCCGTCTCATCTGCAGGTGTTTATCGTTGCAGGAGCTGTCTCATCTGCAGGTATTTATCATTGCAGGAGTTGTCTCATCTGCAGGTGTTTATCGTTGCAGGAGTTGTCTCATCTGCAGGTGTTTATCGTTGCAGGAGTTGTTTCATCTGCAGGTGTTTATCGTTGCAGGAGCTGTTATCTCGTTTCTGGGTTCAGAGCGGGCTGGCTGCCTGTTGTGATTGAGGTTTACACAGAACTTCTTCCCCTACCAAGGGCAATAAAACCCTGAAATTCAAGTCAGTGTCCTTCAAGGTAAGGTGCACAAAATCACTCATATAGGGGAGGGAGAAAACTTTTCTTCATTTTGTTTTCTAAGAATGAAAAAGAAGTTAAGCCTAACTAGTATTTCATATGGAGGCCGACTGGGCAACTCACTGTCCCATGCGTCAGGCAAAGCTGGGCTCTGTGGGGCCTGGAGCTTTTATAGCTTTGGGGATTCTCTTTAACAAAAACAATCCCAAATAAGTTATGAACGTGAATATTTACTAAGAGTATGACAAAAGCCTATATGGTAATTTTTAAAAAACAGACAGCACACACTGCTGTGACACTGTGCGTGTTAGTAGGGCCTTCTCAAGGCTGTCTGGGACCCAGGCCTCATGGGCAAGTTGCGGTAAAGCGGTTACCCTGAGGGCACCTGTGGGGCAGCCGGTGCTCACATCTCTCACTTTAGCTTCCTGAGCCAAACCGCAGTTTACTGCAGATGACGCCTACCCATGGGCTGCTCATGAGGCAAAACCAGTAGGCGACCTCGGAGAAATGGCAGAGGCAGATCCTGGGGAACCACGAATGAGGTCTTGAAAAGCTGGCCTGAAACGCCCATCCAGTCAAGGCTAAGCCAGGAGAAAAAAGGAAATGGCAAAATTGCTGAAGCCAGAAATGAATTTACATCCTGCTCTCCAAATTGGACAAACTTTCCCGAGCGTACCAGAGCCTGGAGAAACTAGCTAATGAGTGTGTGACCTGGCAGGGCATTCACAATGAAGCAGTGACGCTCACGGTACCCAGTGTTAGCTCCTGCTTATAAGCGAGCCTGGAACAATAGACACCGGGATCCCCAAGAGGGAGAAGGGCTGAACACCTTCCTATCTGGGCGATGGGATCAACAGGAGCCCAAACCTCAGCATCACACAATATACGCTTGTAACTAACCTGCATGCGGGCCCCCTGAATCTAAAACAAAAATAACAAAGAAAAGCAAAGAAAAATGAAGCATTGGAAACTTTCAAACTAACTCCTATACTTCTCAGTGACATTTAAGATCATGCGTTGCTGCATTGGATACTTTACAAAAATTTACTAAACTTAATAAGGATC